>NC_000006.12:12181212-12332727 GCF_000001405.40 Homo sapiens | reverse complement strand
TTTTCCCTTTAAGCTAATCATTTATCCTTCCCCTTATCGTAAGTTTTGTCCATTTCCTGTTTTTGAGTTATGAACAGTCGGGCCTGTGTTTCCTGGGTGGTTTTCCTGCAATCATAATAAAGTATGATTGTTAAAGCCATTCCTCCTGTTCCTGTTATTTCTGTCCCCCAGTTGGCTAACAGAGCCTAGGACTTTTGCCCCACTGGCTACCTCCTCAAGTCTGCTTGTGTTGCCAGCAGTTTAGAAACGAGAACGTGGTCTGTGGAAAGTGCCCCCCATTTGGATCCCTCTGGAGGTTTTTAGCAACAGCTGGACCTCTCTGACACATTCCGATGCAGGATCTCCTGAGGACCTTGCAAACTGAGGATGGGGTGGGACTATCCCAAAACATATCACCCACCCACTCCCATCCCTTGAGCAATGACAGGGCTTCATTCATTCTTAAGCAAACGGTGTGCTCCAGGATACAGGGATGAATGAGATAGAGTCCCTGCCCCAAGGTTCTCATTCGCCCTTCTAGAATGCTTCAGAGGATCTGCCTACTTGAGCAACCTCATGAGGTGACATCATGGGAATCTGCACAATCTCATTCCATTTACTCACTAAATATTTGTTGAGCTCCTACTGTTTGCCAAGAACTGTGCTGGGTGCTGGAATACCAGGTCTCAAGGAGCTTGTTGCTGAATGGAGGATAAATAGGCGGTGACAGTGAGATAAAAGCCCAAGTAGGTGAAAGTGTTAGACCTTAGATGTTAGGAGTTTCTGGGTTATTCAGTCCAGCCTGCCAGGGGCTTATCAGCTGCATTAACAACAGCATTTCTTTTACATTCAAAGTAATAGCAAAGTCAGTGGTAATCTAGTGCACCTGAGATTCTTCAGCGTCACTCTAAACTCCCTTCAGACCCAACTTTTAGAGGTACAGAGGAAATCAGCTGGGGCAAATGAATGAATGGTTCAGAGATTTAAAAGAAGTAAGGGACGAGTAAATAATTGGGTCCACTTACCCAGGAACTGTGACTGGCTGCTTGGTTTCCTAGCAGTCAAAGCCAACAGCCACAGCCTGGGATGGGATAACACAAGCCAGGCACCAAAATAAATTTTTTCCCTTTTATCTCAGTGACCCAAATCCATGGGCCCCACTGATGTTTGTTTTGACTTCTTGGCTCTGAAGCCTAGGGCAGTTCTTGTGTGGTAGGCTGTTTGGTTGACAAATCTTTTAATGGACAAATTAGCAAGCTCCTTATGTGCTCACATATTAGCAGACCGCCTTCAGCCATGCACAAAACACTGGAGAGTAGGCTGTCCCCCTCACCCCAAACTGCAACCAATCCTTGATTATTCTACAGATAAAGCTTGGAATAACCTCAGATCCCTCTAGTCAGTTGATGGGAAAAAAAATGCTGTGTTAAGGATTGTCCATTTTTATTTTAAGGAAGGGAAAGGAAAAATACAGGAGGGTAAAATAGAAGTTATGGATGTAGCTGCTTTTTAGCAACCTTCCAAGCACATTTTCTGGAGGAAATTCAAAATTAAAATGAGATTTTAAGATTTCTTTTGCAATTTTATGGCCCCTGCCTTTTTTTGTTCTGGGCCACAGCATGATGAGTAATGAAGAGTTGGTTTTAGAACAGATCTTTGCTTCTCGCCAACCCCTTTTTTTGAGATATTTTCTTCAACCCCTTTTTTCCCATCAACTGACTTCAATGCTGGCTGCATGGCCTCCTTTGTAGCTCTAACACCCCAACCTCATTCCCCAAAGAAATAAGTTCTCTTGTGTCTGATAGTTCACACATTTTAACCACATAGTATTGTCCTTCTAACATAGGGGTTGAGGTGAGGTAGGGGATGATGCCTGTCTATGACTCCATCCTGTTGCTATCTGACGCCTCTTCCTCAACTCCAATCTGCCAGGCAGATTAAAGTACAGGGTTGCACACTATTACATTGTCAAAGATAATTCAAATCTCGTCCTTGAAGCTTTTCTACCTTCCCTTCAATTCATCACCACTTACAGTAACTATTGACTCTGCTCAAGGCTGAACGTGAGCTTCTGGGAAAGGGAAAATACCAAAGACGAATGTTTCCAAGCAACAGAGAGATCCAGATACATTTAGTGCTTCCCGAGACTCAATTTATTTATATGTAAAATGGGATAATCCCCCACTTCTAACACTGTTGTAAAGATTGGAGATAACATAAGGGCATTCTACTGAGCTTTAGAAGTGGAGGCACTCAACAGTTAGTAGCCATTTGCATTATCATTGTCACACACATCAATTTCTACTTTTAAAGTTGTGGCCCAAGCATCTCTGATCCAGCAAGAAGAAGGTCCAAGCAACTGCTCTGTGTCTTCTTATAATTGGTGACACAAGTAAAAGAAACAGAGAGAAGGGGGTTAGGGGGAACCCTCTAGTGGAGAAGTGAGTGAAAATTACCCCAACTCCCATTTCTTTTTTTATTTTTGTGATGGAGTCTTGCACTGTCGCCCAGGCTGGAGTACAGTGGCGTGATCTTGGCTCACTGCAACCTCCACCTCCCGGGTTCAAGCAATTCTCCTGACTCAGCCTCCCGAGTAGCTGGGATTACCGGCGTCCACCACCACACTCGACTAATATTTTGTATTTTTTAGTAGAGACCGGATTTCACCATGTTGGCCAGGCTGGTCTTGAACTCCTGACCTGGTGATCCGCCCCCCTCAGCCTCCCAAAGTGTTGGGATTGCAGGCATGAGATATTGCACCCACCACCCTCCCCCATTTCTATTCTACCTGGCTGCCTTAAAAAAAATCATATTTCATATTCCTTTCTTAGCTCCACCACTTTTCTCCCTCTGTCTTCTCACTCTGTTCTCTGCTCTGCTCCCTAAGTTGTCACAAGAACAATTTGTTATCTAGGTCCCCAGTGAAAAGAGCCCTGAGTCAGTCACCTGCACAGGAAGCCGTCTGAGCACCACAGCACAGGAGGACGGGCAGGCCTCATGGGTGAGTGTGCACACACAAGCCTTCCCAGGATGCCCTTGGCTTGGAATTCCATTTTCCAGAGTCCAATTATACAGACCCAGGGAAGAGGCCAGACCCACCCTCTCCTCACTGACTCCCTTATGAAGAATTCTTGAATAAAACAAAACACATCAGGCAGGGCACGGTGGCTCACGCCTGTAATCCCAGCACTTTGGGAGGCCGAGGTAGGTGGATCACCTGAGGTCAGGAGTTCGAGACCAGTCTGGCTAACATGGTGAAATCCTGTCTCTACTAAAAATACAAAATATTAGCTGGGCGTGGTGGTGGGAGCCTGTAATCCCAGCTACTTAGGAGGCTGAGGCAGGAGAAAAGCTTGAACCCGGGAGGCGGAGGTTGCAGTGGGCCGAGATCACGCCACTGCACTCCAGCCTGGGCGAAAACAGTGAGACTCCCTAGACAACCTCATTCATTCCATATGTGTTTATTAATTACCTACCTTGTGTCAGGGACTATTGTAGGCTCTGGAGACATAGCATGACACAACTGACAAAGCCCATGCTCCAGTGGGATTTACATTCCAGCATGGGAAAATCAGATAACGAACAAACATATGAATGCTGTGAAAAGGGACAGGTCAGGGGGTAGGGAGTGAGAGTGGAGGGTGCTCATTAAGAAAGGGGGAAGCAGGTATGTGATCACCAAGTAGACGCCACTTGAGAAGAGACTTGCTAGAAAGAAAGGTGAGTCAGGTGGGCGTCCGGAGGAAGAGCATCCCAGCAGAGCAAATGGTAAATGCAAGCAAATGCCTGGTGTGAGAAACAGCTTCAAGTGCTCAACAACAAAGAGGAGAAAAATGAGATTGCAGCTGAGTAAGAAATAGGGGAGTGGCAGGTGATGAGCTCAGAGAGGAAGCCAGGAACCTCTCAAGTAGGGACTTGTTGACCATGGCTAGGAAAGTGAATTTTGTTTAAATGAAAGGAGTGCTACTGAAGAGTTTTGAGCAGGTGTATGCAATTCAACTTAGGGTTTAACTTGTTTAGGCTATTCAGTGGAGAAAAGACCATTGGAGAAGCAGGGTGAAAGAGCAGAGCCCTGTTAGGAGCTTATTTGCACAGCACACAGTTGATGATGTTGGCAATAATTAGTGGTGTGGAGTCCATGCAGGCTGTTTTGCTCAGTCGCTCCTCCCACCAACCCAGAGAGAACTCCAAATTCCTCAAAAAGATACACAAAAGCCGCAGCAATCATTGCCTACTTTATGAAGATGTCTTCATGAGGACAGGAGGGAGAGACTATATCACAATCAGGGCGGCACACCATGTCGGAGGCATCATTTGACCTTCATGCTCTCCTTATCCTCTCTTTGGTAGACATCTCTCTTCTTCCTGCATCCCTGCTTCCTATCAACTTAAGATTGCTTTCCTCTCTGCTATGCAAAGATGTTCATCTCTGCCCCAGCTTCTGCTTTCAAAAAGCACGGCATCAAATCCCCCATAGTATTCAGAAAATGAAGTTCCCTTTCATTAACAAGATCTATTATCCCCTTAAGGCAATATCGGAGACATCTGTTGTTACTTGAGTGTGTTTTTGCCTTCTCCCTTCCTGCTTCACACCCTTCCTGCTTCACACCGTTCATCTGAACAAGGTAAGAACCTCAGTGAGACTGAGGCAAAAGTCTCAATCAGACAAGGTTTATTAAGCCAGCTTTACAGCACACCTGGAAAAACGTGGGCCACAGACACATCTGTGGCTATTTTTCCAAAGGGGTTTTTAGGAGGTATAGTATTTATACTTTTTTTTAAGGGGAGAAGACATGTAGGAAGAGGGGGCAAGCAGGCAGTAAGGGGGATGGTTACATTCTAGGGAGACTTTAGTTAGTACCCAATAAATCTACATTTTATGTAAGATAAGGTGAATGTTTGCAGAGAAAAAAGGGAGTAAAGGAAAAGTCAGGAAGTTTCTTGTCTTGTCTTTGTTCTGCACCTGGGAAGACAGGCCTGTATTCTATATTATCATATGTTAGTTTTAGGAGCTAGACTTAGATTGCAGACCTAAAGTTACAATTGGCATGACCTTGTTTATGGGAGGCCAGAAAAGAAATTCCCTATGAATGATCTGTGGGGCAGTCCTTTGCAGATGCCAGAGACCTGGCTAATGAGGAATGCTAGTAACAGCTATTTATTTGAAAGAGGGTGCTGCATGACTCAACCTCCAGGCTAAACCTTCCCTTTTGCTTAAGGAGTTTGGAGATCCTGAGATCTTTTGTTTTGTTTTGTTTTGTTTTCTTTTCTTTTCTTCCACTCTTGTTGCCCAGGCTGGAGTGCAATGGCATGATCTCGGCTCACCACAACCTCTGCCTCCCAGGTTCAAACGATTCTCCTGCCTCAGCCTCCTGAGTACCTGGGACTATAGGCACGCACCACCATGCCAGGCTAATTTTTGTATTTTTAATAGAGATGGGGTTTCACTGTATTGGCCAGGATGGTCTTGAACTCCTGACCTCGTGATCCACGCACCTCAGCCTCCCAAAGTGCTGGGATTATAGGTGTGAGCCACCGTCCCCAGCCGATCCTGAGATTTTTTAAATTTTGCTTTACAAAAGTATTTTTCCAAAAAGAATTCTGCTGGTTGAAATTTTTATCTCATCACACCTATATTTAGCATATATCTCTTTTAGTCTGTTAGTAATTCTGTTTGTTCATGATGATGTTTTCCAATAGACTTAAACTTCCTTAAAATAGGCAATCGCATTTATTTCCATACCTTCAGCATTGGCACAGAATCTGTCACTTAACCAACCTTGGTAGAATAGAACCAAACAGACAGAAATCTTTATCTTACTATTGTCTGATGAACTGCAATTCCTAGAGTTGGGTCTAATCAGTTGAATTTTTTTTTTTTAAGCTGAGCTTTGTAAAATTGCACACAAACTAGTGAAGCGGCGGCATTGTCTGAGCTAAATACCCAAGCTCCATCATCTTACACCAAGGAAATCGAGGATGTGGACACACAAGGAGTGAGCTTAAGAGCGGAAGTTTATAGGTGAAAGAAAGAGGAAAGCTCCCTTGTGCAGAGGAAGGGGTCCCAGATGGGTTTCCAGGTTCACAGCAAGATGCGGCTGGTTTTATAGATGAGCTTGAGGAGGTGGTGTCTGACTTACATAGCACACAAGAGATTGGTTGGACCAGGTGTTCCATTTACATAGCACGTGAAGAAACTGGCCATCCTACGCTAATCTTTTATTATTCAAGTGTGTTCTCTACATGGCTGGTGCCACGTTGTGTATTCCCTTATTGCACATGTGGTGACAAAGGAAAGGGAAGATGAAGACTCCATGTTGGATATGCCTGGCTCCTAGGTAGCCCTTTTCTATTGGCACAGCTGCAGGCATTCACCTGTGCAAGCTTCTAGCTTGCTTATCTGTGTCTGCAGCTTGATTTTTCAGGCTGCTCTTTGTTAGAAAAGAAATTATTTGGGGGCTGCTTTTTTTGAAAGGGAAGCTTTGCTGAGGACTCTCTTTCCATCACTAACTGCCTAAATTGTTTCTTTCTAGCTCCTGTATCACTAGGAACTCAGCATTTCTAAGTACAGCATAGAAATTTTAACTATCAATAGGTCTTTACTGAGATGGTAATAAACCCTCACCTTTCTCCTTCTTCCCTTCATCCTTGGATAGTTTGCCCCACTCATTGAGCCTCCTCTTGTTTTGTTAATTAAATCACCTGCAGTATTCTCCAGGGGGAGTTATCAGTGTTCCAAGGACAGTGGAAACTTCTTGGGATTGGGGATCTTGTCTCTCCATGTTCTGTTCGGCACCTGGGACACGTTGCTCTTGGTGTCACTCCAGGATATATGCTTTCCATAGCAATTTGTCTAATTGCGCTGAGCATAAAGTGAATGAAATACATAATTTGGTAGGTTCCTCTGACTGTGGTATCTGGCTACAGAGCTTTGTATGAAAGGTGTTGATTGGCTGTTATATATTCTACTGTCATCATCTCCCTGTCAACATCTCTTTGATAGAGAATTGGGGGTGGAGGGCAGCCACGAGGCAGCAGCACAGACAGCACTCATCTCATGTTGTCGGTAAGATGGGTCTTTAAAAAGGCACATTGCAAAGCATAGCAGATCTCTTGTGTCTAGCTTCATCTTGACATATATAATGCCAAGCATTAAATTCGGGTTTGTTGATATTACCACGTATTTTTTTAAATAATACCAAGGAACCTCAATAAATGGTCACTGGATTCCCTGGTAGGTAGAATAGAAGCCATGTGAGGGGTAAGGGCTGGATCCAATTTATCTTTGCATTCCCCAGACCAATCTTGCACACTGCCTGTCTCACGGCAGGTGTCTTCTGAGTGAATGAAGAAACCATCCCTTGTGCGTTTCCTTCAGGCTGGCTTTATTTTGCAAATGGCAGAGAAATAATGACGCATCATATTTTTTAAGACAGCCAGGGAATAAAATCTCACAATTTTCTTTAGTCTTAACATCCAGGGCTTAGTAATTCTTCCTGCTGGGAGTCTATTCCTCTCTTCTGAGTCTCAGCAGCTACTATATGTTTAAAAATTGTCATATTGTTACCCCATTCCCAGTCCTTTGTCTTAAACCACTTAAAAAAGAAATGCTTGTAATTCCACCAGAAAAATCCTAATTAGATGCTTAGCTTCTGAAACAAAGGCTTAATGAGTGAGGTCTTGTTCCACCCCCAGGGTGTTGACAAGGTCCCTCCTCATCTGTGAGTCTCCCACCATGAGCTGGCAGGACTCCTACCACCCAGAAAGTGATAGACCTACTCACTTTAGAGGCCTTGCCCCTAGGGGTAATACAAACTAAGAAGGCAGCAGAAGGCAGGGCCCCCTCAAAGCAATGAGATAACCTACCAGCCTGTGGGGAGGGGTTCCTTCCCTGTATTTCCTAACCACATCCTTTGTTGGAGGCACAAAGGAGAGAGATGAAGCCTCAGTTAGTTATTTGAAGTGCTCAGCTTTTACCTACTGACCTTATCTGTGTGATAATTATATAGTAACAGCTCAAAGCGCAAATACTCACTGAATCCTTCACCAGAGAAAGACCAGTATGGAGGAAATAATACTTTGCAATAGAAGATAATTATTGATTTGGGCTTCATTCTCTATTGATGAGCTCAGCATCCCTAAGTCCAGGTCTTATGAGTAATAAACAGAAAATTATTCCTCCTTGTTTTACAACAGAGCAGGTACACCACGATGAACATAGGTTCTGGCCTTTTGATTTAGAGATTGCCTCCTTCAAACTCAGAATCATACAGTTCTGTTTGCCAGTCTGGGTTTTCTGCTGACAAAAGGTGCTACAAGGACAGCAAATAAAGTCTGTAGTCTCCTTAGGTTAACGTAACAAATGCCATGTTCATGAGTCACAGCTGGGACACACCTAGTTCCTGAGCTCCAGAGAAACCAGACACTAGGCACTGTGTGTCTTCACTTTGTTGTACTTGCACAAACTGACTTCACCGGATATCGAGTTTTTCCTCTTTGACTTATATGGTCACTAAGAGGACCTCACTCACAGAAACCTAAATCAGAGGCAAATAGGAGGAGCATCACTGTAGCAGATGAAGCTAGCTGGGCTATTACTGCAGGATGTGCTTGATGGGAACAGGCCTGTGCTCTGAATATTCACCTTTCCCCTCAACCAGAACTCTTTCTTTTTTTTTTTTTTTTTTTTTTTTGAGGCAGAGTCTCGCTCTGTCACCCAGGCTGGAGTGCAGTGGCGCTATCTCGGCTCACTGCAAGCTCCGCCTCCTGCGTTCACGCCATTCTCCTGCCTCAGCCTCCCGAGTAGCTGGGACTGCAGGTGCCCGCCACCACGCCCCGCTAATTTTGTTGTATTATTAGTAGAGACGGGGTTTCACCGTGTTAGCCAGGATGGTCTCTATCTCCTGACCTCGTGATCCGCCCGCCTCGGCCTCCCAAAGTGCTGGGATTACAGGCGTGAGCCACCGCGCCCAGCTCAACCAGAACTCTTAACACTATAGTAATCTTAAGAAAGAGTTCTAAATCTCATGAAGCCAGGGGAAAAACCTGATGGAGAAAAAAGGGGGGTGATTATTCTAACATAATCCTATGTTAGAAAGATTAGTGAAAAGATGAAGAAAATACATTTCATCCATTTTTGTGGTTTTCAATATTAATTTGTCTAAAAAGCTTTTTAGAGAAAAGGGAAAAGTGCTGGAACTTTCTCATACAACTCAGAGCACAAATATATATGCCCACAAAGACACACATAGTTAAATTGTCTGAATCAGAATATATTTGAAAAACATTTCCTCACTAATTATTCAACCCTTAGTGTAAGAGCCTCAGGACTCAAGCATCATAATAAATCATCCACTAGGATATCTGCATCAGATAACTAGGGCAGAAATAAAAGCCAACAACTCACATCAGCCTAACTCATAGTCCATTTCTTTCGGAGTAAATTGTTTGTTAAGATTTGCATCTTGTCCCCAAAATGATTCTGGAAACTATACATTTCTGTTGATAATTGGTAAAATTAAAAATACTGAGTTTCAGTACATGATCGAAATTTATTAATCAAGATTATAGCAGACTTGCTTGTCTATCTTTTTCCTTTTCCAAATTTCAAACAGTGTTTAAGGCTATGCTTTCAGAATAACCATAATCACAAACATTGATCCGTATTTAATAATTCAAGGTATACACATTTTTTTAAGCATGCCCCAGGAAAGAAGTTTTTCAAAGGCAAAGTCCATGCTGTAGTCAATATATTATCTCAGGGCTCAACAATATGCCTCATGGTAGCTGGCCAGTAACAAATGTAGAAACAAATGGATAGTTTTGAAAGCACACCCAAACTAAGTGAGGAGATACTTCAACTAGTTAATTTCAAAGAGCAAAATATGAGTATATTAACTCATGGGACCATGTGGCACATATTTCAAATGCTCTAGTTTTTTGACAAGTAGTGGAGTGCTCAGGAAAAGGCTTCATAGATGAGGCCTGCCAGAGAGCAGGTGGCATCTTCAACTGATTCACTGAATCATTCACTCACTCTTTCATTCATGTATTCAATCAGTAAACATTTATTAATGACCTTACCATGACAAGTCACTGTGACAGGAGATGTGACAATGTGTAAGATCCACACACTGCCTTCCTGAAATCAGAAAGACAATACACACATTATTCCTTTCTCTTCTATTGCTTTTTGATTTGCTTGGTAGCCACCAGAATTTATTGGTGGAAAAACAATGACTGTATCTGCTACAGGCGATTGTTCATATTCCCTTAGAACAGAGTTTCTTAACCTCAGAACCATTGATATTTTGGACCAGATAATTTTTTGTTGTTGAGAGCGGTCCTACTTACCATACGATGTTTAGTAGCATCCCTGATCTCTACACCACTGGACTCCAATAGCACCATCTCCCCAGCTGTAACAATAAAAAATGTCTCCAGATGTTGCCAACTGTCCCCTGGAAAGAAAAATCATTAGCAATTGAGAACTACAGGTGGACAATAGAAAGTGCTGTGGATGACTGAGTAGGAAAAAAAAATAAAGAGAAATTAGGAAATGGAGTGTGTGTGTGTGTGTGTGTGTGTGTGTGTGTACTTAATTAATAGTGTGTAATTTCAGCTACCTAATAATTTTTAAGACCACTTTTAGACACTTGCTTCTTATTAGGATATAAAAAGTAGCAAGAAACCATTACTTCCACCTTTACAGCAAGATACATCTAGACAAGCTATATAATGATAGTTTAAAGAAACTCACCAGAGGCCAAGGCATGGTGGCTCATGTCTATAATCCCAGCACTTTGGGAGACCAAGGTAGGAGGATTGCTTGAGCCCATGAGTTCAAGACTAGCCAGAGCAACATAGCAAGACCACCATCTCTCAAAAAAAAAAAAAAAATAGCTGGGCGTGGTGTCACATGTCTGTGGTCCCAGCTGTGAAGCTATTCCAGGGGCTAAGGTGGGATGATTGCTTGAGCCCAGGAGGCTGAGGCTGCAGGCAGCTGTGATTGTGCCACTGTACTCCAGCCTGGATGACAGAGCAAGACCCTGCCTCAAAAATAAATAAATAAATAAATAAATAAACCTACCAAAGAACTGAGGATGCAAGACAATCTAAATGAAATGAATTTCAGCAGAGAGAAAACCGTAGCTACTGTGAACCTCGAATGAAGGTGGAGAAAGGAGGAATCTGCTGTGGATGGAGTGAGAATTCAGCTGAACTGTTAATGAACATTTTTTTTTTTTTGAGACAGGGTCTCACTCTGTCACCCAGGCTAGAATACAGTGGCATGATCAGGGCTCAACCTCCTGGGCTCAAGTGATCCTCCCACCTCAACCTCCTGAGTAGCTAGGACTACTGGCCTGTGCCACCATATTAGACCAATGTTTATTTGTTTGTTTTGTAGAGGCAGGGTTTTGCCGTGTTGCCCAAGCTAGTCTCAAACCCCTGAGCTCAACTGATACACCCACCTCAGCCTCCCAAAGTGCCGGGATTACAAGCACCAGCCACCATGCCTGTCCTTGATGAACTTTTGATGCCCGTTGGTTGGTTGAAATGATGGACTGGAGTCTCAAGGGGCTCTAGTCACAAATTGAGTTTGCACCCCCTCTCCTTGTTTTTTTATGGGCCTTTACTGAGTACACAGAGATAGTACACAAAAGGCTGAGAGCAGAGCAGAAGACCTGAAAGATATCTGCCATGAGATACATGGCGCCTTCAACAAGTGCAAGGCAGAGGCAGCCAAAGGCTGGAGACAGGGCAGAAGAGCTCATAAAACCCCAATAAAGCACTCAGGAACTTCACTGAAAGCAGGGCAGGAGAACTAGGAAATGTACCCTGAGATACTCCAAGTCCTCACCAGCAGTGGCCTGCTGAAGGCTGGAACAAGGGCAGAAGAACCAAGAGAGGAGTCTTTTCAAGGAACACTAGGCTTTCACCAAGGGCAAGCAGTAAGTGCTAATGTCTAGGGACAGGACAAAAGGAAGGAGAAAGACCTCACAAGAGCCAGAAAACTAGAGGAGTGACTGAAGAGAAAAATCTAATATAAAAATCCAGCTGCCAGATGGTCAAACACAGAGAGAGAGATACACCAAGGTTCAGAAAGCCGAGTTTTAAACCATAAAGAGATCTCTGGGATCTCATTGATATTTAGATCTCAAGCCCAGCTGAATGAAAAGTCCTGATCCTGTCTGTGGGCAGATCACCTGAGGTCAGGAGTTCAAGACCAGCCTGGCCAACATGGTGAAACCACGTCTCTACTAAAAATACAAATATTAGCCCGGCATGGTGGCGGGTGCCTGTAATACCAACTACTTGGGAGACTGAGGCAGGAGAATCATTTGAACCCAGGAGGCAGAGGTTTCAGTGAGCCAAGATCACGCCATTGCACTCCAGCCTGGGTGACAAGAGTGAAACTGCATCTCAAAAAAAAAAAAAAGATTTGAAACCAGTGGTGAACAGACTGTAACACAGTATGCCAGCTGCCTACACTAGAAAGAGAGCAGAGGAATCGAGAAAACTTTAATTTATTTTTAAACAAGAAGCTTAAACAACAACATGCTTGACTTGAAGAGAAAACTGTCTAGAATTCTTTTTTTTTTTTAAGAGTAATTTAACCCTACTTAAAAACAGATTGCCTTACATGTAACAGCTACGTACAAAAAAAGTTATAAAATTGTCCTTGGTTTTACAATAATAGATACGAAATCATTAAAATTATTCAATTGAACAAGGTATGCAAAGATTTTTATGTTTTTTCTGTTGTGGTGGTTGTTGTTAAAACAGTGAGAGCAAAATAACTTACTGGAATATAAAGATAAGAGCTGAATGAGCATGCCGGTAGTGGAGAAACGGGGTATTTTCACAGAATCAGTGTTTTCCCCCATCCTGTCTCCACTCGATGTCAATTAAAACATACCACTGGCCACTGAATATAATAAGAAAGTTTAAAAATGTGATATTCTTGTGCAAATACATTAGTTACTTTATGTGATTTTATAAAGGAATGAGGAAAAGGGAAAGGAAAGGATAGAGAAAACTGTACTGTATTAGTCTATTAGTCAAGATGTGGTGAAACCAAATTGCAGTTTTCTGACTGAGAATTTAATACTGGTCTGTAAGAACAGCATTCTGGAGGAAAGAGACAGGTGCCCCTTTCAGTAGACACCTCCTGCGTGCTGCTGGAGCACATCAATTGTATCTTCATCCTCCATTTCCAACTGTGAGGGTGTGTCTGTTTCATTGATTGGTTGCCCATCAATTGGAATCTGATCTGTCTCACTGACAAACCCTTGGGCCTTTCCTTGGCCATGGTGAGTTCTAAAGTCTCCTTAACTACTGCTTCACAAAAGAAGTGCCAGGTCCACACCGAATGAGAATATGGGCAGCACCAGGAGTGGCAGAAGAAGAGAGAAAACTTTCTCACCCTCCAGGCCTTACACTAAGTGGCAGAAAGTGACAGTCCACATATGGAAAAGGGTTAGAAATCCAGGGAAATGCAGGCTAACATGATCAACCTAAGAGTGAAGACAAAGCAGGAAAACCAAAAGTAATCTTGCTATGCTCCAGAACTTACACTGCCTATTAGGCAGAGCAGCCTGACACCAGGAAGGGTCAGGAGGTCTGAGAGAGACCTCCCTGAGCATAGTGGCACTGGGCCTGTCTAAGACTGAGGATGGAACAGGAAAGCCAAGGAAATGGGTCCAGCATTCAGAACTGTGTGCTAAGCATGAGGTGCCCTTGTCTACATCTGGGGGAGGGGCAGAGGAGCTGAGGAGCTGCAGGTGCAGAAGGGCTGCCTTAGTCTAATCGTGGATCAGGGGAACTCAGAGAAACCCTCCCACGCCCCTGCTTTACACCAAGTGCCAGGAAATAGCAGTTGGCCACTGGCCAAGGGGCAGGAATGCTGGGAGAGATCTCTCCTGAGGTGCAGGGGCATAGGGTCTCCTGAAGTCTGTAGTCATAGTGGGAGACCTGAGGGATGCTCTCTGGCACCCAGTGCTTATACTAAATAAAAGGCATCAGAGTGTAGTTTCATTTCAAATTTGGGTTGTATTACCATAACTAAAGCCACAACAAAGTTCAGGCCCACCTCAACGACAGACTTCATCTGCCAAACTCCTATACGAATAACTGGACAGAAGATGAGGCATGCCCTTTTCTGAGGGTAAATAAGTGGTGTCTCAGTCTCTACTGTTTTTTAAAAAAATACCTAATGTCTGGCGTTCAATCTGAAATTTAAAAACAAACACAAAAAAGCAAGAAGACAAACAAGCAAAAAAGAAAAAAAAGTCAATAAAACCAGACCCTAAGATGGCAAAAACGTTGGTATAGGTGGAATCCAACCTATACCTGGATCCATTCTGGATCCAGAATGATCCAAAACCTGAAACATTTTGAGTGCCAACAGGACACCACAAGTAGAAAATTCCACACCTGACCTCATGTGACAGGTCATAGTCAAAACACAATCAAAATTTGTTTCATGCACAAAATTATTTAAAATATTATGTAAAATTACCTTCAGGCTATGTATGTAAGGTATATATAAAATATAAATGCATTTTGTGTTTAGACGTGGGTCCCATCCCCAAGATATCTTATTATATTTATCTAACTATTCAAAATCCAAAAAAAGTCCAAATTCCAAACCACCTTGGGTCCCAAACATTTTGGGTAAGGGATACTCAGCCTATATTTTCGAAATAACTTTTAAACTTATAAATATATATATATATATACACACACACATATGTATATATATACACACATATGTATATATAGGTATGTATGTATATATATGTGTATATATGTATATATGTATATATGTGTATATATATGTATATATGTATATATATATATATGTGTGTGTATATATATACACACACACACACCTATATATGCCTTAAGGAAATATTGGCAAATCAAATCTGGCAACACACAAAAAGCTATAATGAAAAAATAAGTCATGACCAAGTGGGATATATTCAGAAATGTAAGATTGGTTCAATGTGTGAAAATAAATCAGTGTAAATTGCCACATTAAGAGAATAAAGGAGAAAAAAATCATCTCAATAGATGCAGAAAATGAACTTGATGAAATTCAACACTGATTCACGATAAAAACTATCAGCAAACTAGAAATAGAGGAAATTTTCTCAATCAAATTACAGATTATTCTTTAAACTAGTAACATTAAATCCTTTTCCACTAGGATTAGGAGCAAGGCAAGAACATTCACTCAACACTTCTATTCAGCAATATTCTAGAAGATATGGTAATTTTATAGAGTAAGTCAATGCAATAAAAAGCACAAACATTCTAAAGGAAAAAATCATTGTTATTCAAAGAACATGTGACATAGCAAACTCCATGGAATCTACACAAATATTTTTAAAAGTAATAAAAGAGTGCAGCAAAGCTTTAGGGTAAAAGTCAGTATATATTCTGCACTAACAATAAAAACTGGCAAATAAAAATTTTAAAATATGACCACACAATTAAATGGCTAGGAATAAATATAATGAAATATGCAAGATCTCTACATTGAAAACTACAAAACATTGTTAAAAGAAACTGAAAACCTAACTTAATAAAAAGCCACACTGGTTTCTTTTATTTAGTCTAGTTTTATCTGTTTACTTATTTATTTATTTTGAGACAGGGTCTTGCTCTGTCGCCCAGGCTGGAGTCCAGTGGCACAATCTCAGCTCACTGCAACCTCCACCCCCCTGGTTCAAGTGATTCTTGTGCCTCAGCCTCCCAAGTAGCTGGGATTACAGGCATGCACCATCACATCTGGCTAATTTTTGTATTTTTAGTAGAGATGGGGTTTCACCATGTTGACCAGGCTGGTCTCGAACTCCTGGCCTGTTGTGTTCTGTCCACCTCAACCTCCCAAAGTGTTGGGATTACTGGCGTGAGCCACTGTGCCCGGCAAAAAGGCATACTGTTTTTGTAAGACTGAATGTTGTTAAGATATCCATCCTTCCTAAATCGAGGATAAATTCAACCCAATTCGATCAAAATTCAAGCATCATTTTTTAAAGGAAGTGCCAAGTTGTTTCTAAAATAAATACAGAAACCCAGAGGGCACAAAACAGCCAAACGATCTTGATAAAAAAGAACAAAGTTAGAGATCTTACACTAATCAATCTGAAAACATACTCTACAGCTATAGATATTGTGATAGTGATCTATGGAAATGAAAGGAGTCCAGAAATAGATCAATGGAACAAAATAGAGAACCCAGAAATAGCCACACACACACATATACTAATGGCTTCTTAACAAAAGCACCAAGTCATTCCAATGGGGAAATGAAAGACTTTTAGACAAATAGTGCTAGAACACCTGGATATTGGGGGAAAAAATGAGTCTTGACCACCCCCCGCCTTATACCGTGCACAAAAATTAATTTGATATGGATCATAGACAAAAACATAAAGACTAAAAACCTAAAGTCTCTAAGAGGAACCTTGAGAATATAGCACAACATTTGGGAAGACAAAGATGTCTTAAGCAGGACATAAAAAGGAGTAATTTAAAAAAAATGATGTCAGACTTCATAAATATTAATAATTTCTGTTCATCAGAAGCCATCATTAAAAAATAAATTCTCAAGCTACAAACTGGAAAATACCTATGCAATACATATGTCTAATAAAGGACTCATATCCAGGATGTATAGAGAACTCTTAAAAACCAACAATAAAAACACAAAAAAGTCAATTTGTAAAAACAGGCAAAATACATGAACGTGCCTATCACATAGGAAGAACGAATGGCCAGTAAGCTCAACACCGTAGATCATCAGGGAAATGCCAACTAATGCCACAGTGAAATGGCATTTCACACAAATCATCATAGCTGAAGTAAATAAACTGTGATAATACCAAATGTTGGACTAAGTAAAATAAAAATATTGACAATACCAAGCATGAAGCAATTCGATATCCCAGGCACTGCTGGTAAGAATATAAGAATGGTATAACCAGTTTGGAAAAATTTTGGAACTTTCATATAAAGTTAACCATAAACCTACTTATGGCCCCGCAATTCTACTCTCAGATATTTATGCAAGAGAAATGGAAAAAAAGAACATAAAAAAGACTTTTACAAGAGTGCTCACAGCACTCTTAGTAACAGCTCCAAATAGAAACAATTCCATTGTACTCATACAGGAGAATTGATAAATGTATTGTCATATATTTGTACAATGGAATATTACTCAGCAATAAAGTAGAACAAACTGCTGACAAAGGCAATAACATGAACAAATCTCAAAAACATTATGTTGAGCAAAATTAGCAAGACCTAAAAGAATATATACTGAGGTGCTACATTTTATAGAAGCAAAGCTAACTTATGGTGAAAGAAATCAGAACAGTGACTTCTCCTAGGCTCTAGTGGGGCTGGGGGTAGGGCAGGAGTGAGTGTGTGTGAGGGAACTGACTGGAAAAGGAAATGAGGGGTTTTCTGGGTGAAGGAGGTGTTTTCTATCTTGGTTTGGATGGGTATATATAATTGTAAAATCCATCAAATGGGATCACTGTCTAGGCATTTTATTGTATATAAATTATACCTCATTAAGATGATTAAAAATTTTAAAGAGACCCATAACTTATAAAACATCTTTAAAAACCCGAGGCAAAATCTCTGAAAACATTTACTGGAAGGGAACAAAATAAAAACATCCTGAAACTAATGGGCTGCAACACCTTTGCAATCTGACAAAAGGATGACTCTTCACATCTACCTCCTCCGTACTTCAGTACAAGCCTTTTTGGTGTTGCAACATTGTCCAAGTTAGGAGAAATGCTATGTTCCTCTGGCCCTGGGTCAGAGAGCGATGGGATTGACCAAAAGGAAGGACCAGTGGAATTGACCAAAGGAAAGCAAATGCTTAGCTTGGTCTTGATGTAAAGGGTCAACCAACACACACGTACTGCCAATTGACGCTCATTGACATGGTCAGTGTCAGACTTCTGGTGGAGAGAAAAATGCTACTTCTGTCCGTGCATTCCAAGAGTCAAATTCGCCAAGCTGCAGAAGGCAGTCAGCAACAACAAGGAATTGCTTGCACACAGGCCAGTCATTCCTGATGCTCTTTCTTTTCCTGGATATTTCTGTTGGTGGGCACGAGCAAGCAAAGGGAGCTTAGAGTGAAACCCAAGCATTAGTGAGAAATTAGAGTTGACAGATGAGTGTGGGAGGGTGGGGAAGGAGGGAGTGAGGACGGCATCTCCTTCCCCATGTCAAGCATATTTCTCACCCGTTACAATGCTCCTTGTTCTCTGATGTGTCCTTTCCCATAGAGGAAGTTATTTGTGAGAGAGGAGGAGAGGAGCTAGCTCATGGGAAAAAAATGTCTCTCGGGCTGTGAGCAGTGAATTGGCTTGTGCCCAAGTAATGTCCTCAAGGTGTGCCATGAGAGATGAAGTCACTTGGCTCATTTTACCAGCTTCAGGATGGCATTAAGACCTGACAAAGCCAGGCAACACGTACAAGGAAACTAACCTGAGGCAGGACCGTGGCACTGAAGGAGTCTCCCTGGATGCAGCAAAGGTGGAGACCTTGTCCAAGAAAAATGCTGGACGGGCCTTTACCCCAAAGAGGAAAGCTGGGTCATGGAACAAGGAAATGAATTACATCAAGTGAAAATGCACATCTGATGCCCAGTCCAGACCAAGGCATGTACGCTTCCAGAGGCACGCTAGCATGCTGGCACCCCTTCAAACTATTATTCTTTGCATATTTTGTTTGTTCAGCGTGTATCTAGTTAAAAAAAAAGAGAGAGAGAGAAGAAGAAGAAGAAATAAAAAAATGAAAGGGAAAAAATGCTTTTTGAGAGGAGGAAGGGGTAAGCTTTTTTGAAACATAACACATACGGGAAAGAGCATATATCTTGATGTGCAGCTTGGAGCATTCCTCCAAAGTGAACACGCCTATGTTCTCAGCACCCAGACCAAGAAACAGAAGACAGAAGTCCCCCAGGCTCTCCTCTGCCCACTACCACCCCACCCCCTAAAGGGAGCTGCTCTCTTGACTTCTAACATTGAAACTGTTTTTTTAATTCGTGAAGTTGTAAAGCTTTTTATGTTCACACTAAATCGCTAAATTTATCATTTTAATTTATTTGGAGCTCTTTCATTTCGTGGCTTATGTTGTTGCCCATAGCCAGAGGACAATTTGCACTCACATTCCTAAGTAGAGGTCAGTGACACGTATATATTGCAAGGCGGTGTTCCCTAGGTAGAGCACTTCATCTCGTCTTTTTTTATTTCAGCACGTCTGTTCCTGCTGACTTCGAATGATTGTCAAGTGGCTGGACTCAGATGTTAGCCGTCTGTCATTGCTGCTAATAACATATTCATGTACAAAAACAACAGAGGTAGGTTGATGCTGGGGAGGAGTGTTTTTTTTTTTTTTATACTGGAAGACATCATCTACTTTGGTCAAAGTAAAACAATTTTTATTTCCAGTAATGAAAGGAGTTGCATGTGGAAACCTGAGTTACCAGGCACCGTTTTTCTGATTTATTATAAGGATGTGTTAGCACCATTTCTTAGAAACTGATATTCCAGAGAGATGCCCAGTCTTTTATCAGATATATGTATTGCAAATATTTTCTTCAGTCTGTGACTTGACAAACCTCTTAGTACCTTCTGGCCTGAAAGTCTCTAAGACTCTCAGTTCAGGCTTGTAGATGACTTTAAAGCCAAGTATGGGAGAGATTCCAATCATTCTCCTTGCAATATGGGGTTGGGATTGTCATCTCAATTAACAGACATTCAAAGCGTGCCTTCTCTGGATGCTGAGAACACAGAGATAAAAAAAAGATGCCGTGCCTCCCCTACAAGAGCTCTCTGTCAAGTGGGGAATCAGACTTGTTAACAAATACCAGAGGAGAGACCACAAAGCCTTTTTGCCTTGAGAAGTCCAGGAAAGCCTCACAGAAGAGAACACATTTAAAAAACAGCTCACCAGCAGAACCTTGAAGAAAAGCCATTCTTCTATGAGAAAGTGGCATTTCAAAAGCCTGGGTGGAGAGAAACGAAAGTTCACAGCCAGGGTGAGGAATAGCTAACATTTTATATATATCTATATATACGTGTATATATAGATATATGTATACGTGTATATATAATATATGTAACATCTATGTAATATATATGTAATATGTATGTTATAGAGGTAATATATGTGTTATGTTATATATGTAATATATGTATATATACACATATATACATATATATACACTTATATGTATATATACGTGTGTATATATACATTTGAGATGGAGTCTCATTCTGGCACCAGGCTGGAGAACAGTAGCGTGATCTCAGCTCTGCAACCTCCACCTCCCGGGTTCAAGCGATTCTCCTGCCTCAGCCTCCTGAGTAGCTGAGACTACAGGTGTGCGCCACCACGCCCAGCTAATTTTTGTATTTTTAGTAGAGACGGGGTTTCACCATGTTGGCCAGAATGATCTCTATCTCCTGACCTCGTGATCTGCCCACCTCGGCCTCCCAAAATGCTGGGATTACAGGCATGCGCCACTGCGCCCGGCTGCTCACGTGGTATATTTTTAAAATTAAACATAATCTAAAAAACACCTATGTCTGAACCACCTGGGTTCTTGCTAAAACAAAGATTTCTAGGTTCTATCATTTACTAGGTCTTAATTTCTGGGGTTTGTGACCTGGGAATCTTCATTTTATCAATTTTTCTAGGTTAACTCTGTTGCACACAAAATTTGAGAAATGTTCCCCTACGATAGTACCAATGTAGGGTGAAGATAAAACAGGAGGGCTGGGCATGGTGGCTCACACCTGTAATCCCAGCACTTTGGGAGATCGAGGCAGAAGGATTATTTGAGGCCAGGAGTTTGAGACCAGCCTGGGTAACAAAGTGAGACGCATCTCTACAAAAAATAAAAAAATTAG
The DNA here is from genome assembly GCF_000001405.40 of Homo sapiens. Taxonomy (NCBI): domain Eukaryota; kingdom Metazoa; phylum Chordata; class Mammalia; order Primates; family Hominidae; genus Homo; species Homo sapiens. Next base: position 12,311,800 of record NC_000006.12, on the reverse strand, counting down.
CTGGGCATGGTGGTGTGCACCTGTAGTCCCAGCTACTCAGGAGGCTGAGGTGGGAGGATCGCTTGAGCCCAAGAGGTCGAGCCTGTAGTGAGCTGTGTTCATGCCACTGCAGTCCAGCCTGGGCAACAGAGAGAGACCCTGTCTCAAACAAACAAACAAACAAACAAACAAAAACAGGAAAAGTAAGTTAGGGTCATATGGTGAAGGGTTTGTGTGATGAATAAAGGGCCGGTCTCCAGAGTTTCATATGGAATGGTAATCTACAATCACACTGTGTGGTAGGTATTATTATCTCCATATTATAGATGAATAGATGGAGACTTGGGAAGGTAAAATAGCTTCCCAAGGGGCTTATAAGCAGTGGAGCCATGATTTGAATCCAGGTATATCTGAATACAATGACCATACTCTTAGTCATTTTACTGCACTTGAGCCACTTTCCTGATACATTTGTGCTGACCAGGCTCCCTTTCTTACCCCATTCTCCTTACAAGGACTCCCTCTGTTGGGTGCAATAACTTGAATAGCTTGGGCCTCACTTCAGAGCTCTGTTATTCCACAGGGGTATCTAGGCAGCTGGAGCCCTCTGTGTTCCGGACTACAGATTCGGGGACCCAAAGGTGAGTCCAACTCATGTGACTTTTGTTCATCAGTAGCACAGTAGATTTGATTGTTACTTTTCCTGAGCACTTACTCAATTTCTAGCGACAACTTTTATTTTCATGGTCTGAACATTTGATGATCTCTTTAAGCAACTGATGGTTTATAGAGGTAATTGTCTCTGTTGAGTGAAAGGTGACAGAATTTAGCTAGAATCTCCTCTCTGTCTGTCTATTTTTAGTTCAAATCTATTAAGAATATTATGCCAACCAGGAAGTTAATATCTGGACTGGCGGGTTTTGTATTTGTTGGTTTATATTTGACATCTGACTGAAATTTTAGAAATGAAATTATAAGCTTTCTCTGTGAGTATGTCTGTATTTAGAAAGTCCTTTACTTCTCATCGTGTGAGTGTATAATATTTTTCTATCTCCTGATAATATCAATAAGCTAGATTAGGAAATGTCTTAAAGAATCTCTAGTCTGATTTGCTTAGAGATAAATAAGCATTTATATTGACTAAATATTCCTTTATTAAGAATATCCCTTTATGAAGAGAAAGAAATTAAGAAAATTGAACCTCTAATACTTTCAGTGTGGGGATTAAAAAAGGTATTGTTATAGATATTAACTCAGAAATAATTTAGAAATCTAATTTTATGTAATTTAGGTACTTTTTTGGCAAATGAGTCTAGCTTAATAATTTTGATTTAATAAATACAGCTAAGTTTTCTCTGATTTATCAGTGTTAAATATTGCATAAGCACAGATTTTGTTATATTTGTAAATATTTTTTAAACTTATACAGATTTACTAATTGAGGAAGCTAGCATCACTTCTACTAAATGTTTAAAATGATGAAAAAATGCGAATTTGTGTTTAAGTAATTTGAAGACTTATTTTGACAAATTTTATTTCAGCAGTAATTATGTTATACAATGTGTCAGCTTGAAGATAATTTGCAAAGTCTTTAGGAAACTTAAAACCTTGGGCCAATAATAAATTGAGTTAATGAATGGATATCCAGTAGCTGCCTAGATCATTTCTGAGAAAAGCAGAATACTGAACGTTAATTGCTAAACATCATTTTAAGTTTATATAATTTGCCTCTTATTTTATGTGGTAAAAATCTGTATATATCTATTAATGAATTTCTGGCATTTTGAGAAGTTACACTAGTAGGGATACACATGAACACAGAAAAGTATAGGAGCTTCTCAGAAAAGGAATTTTCTTTGTCATGGCCAAAGTTAGGTAAAGTTTAATGGGTATACATATAAAATTTTCAAAAACAGCTTTAGAGGCTGGGCACAGGGGCTCATGCCTGTAATCCCAGCACTCTGAGAGGCTAAGGCAGGTGGATCACCTGACATCAGGCGTTTGACGACCAGCCTGGCCAACATGGTGAAACCCTGTCTCTACTAAAACTACAAAAATTAGCCAGGCGCAGTGGTGTGCGCCTATAGTCCCAGCTACTCGGGAGGCTGAGGCATGAGAATCACTTGAAACTGGAAGGTGGAGGTTGCAGTGAGCTGAGATCACAGCACTGCACTCCAGCCTGGGCAACAGAGTGAGGCTCTGTCTTTAAAAAAAAAAAAAAAAAAAGAGCTTTAGAAAACTAGAATTTTGTTTTCTTTCTGTTAGATGAATTTTTTTCTTGGATTATTGGTTTGCTTTTGATAAAAGATTGTAAATGGTTATTCTTTATCTTCTGTGCAATCTGCCTAGAAAACAAAGTGTCTGTGTCTTACTAGAATAACCTGGTTTATGCTGACTTTATCATGTCTTAGTCTGTTTGGGATACTATAACAAAATACTATAAACTAGGTGGCTTATAAACAACAGAAATTTATTTCCCACAGTTCTAGAGGCTGGGAAGTCCAAGATCAAGGCACTAGGAGATTCAATGTCTGGTGGTGAGGGCCGCTTCCTGGCTCATAGGTGGTGCCTTTTCGCTGTGTCCTCCCATGGTAGAAGGCTCAGGGAAGCTGTCTTGGGCCTCTTTTCTAAGGGCACTAATCCCATTCATGAGGGTCTGCCTTCATGACCTAATCACCTCCCAAAGGCTCCATTTGCAAATACCATCACATTGGCAATTAGCTTTCAACATATGAATTTTTGGGGGGACACAAACATTCGAACCACAACAATGTCCTTGATTATTTAAGAAAACAGAGTTTCTTAGGAAAGAGCTAAGCTTCTTTAAAATCATGTTACCTCTTATATTTACTTTTTAAATTTTTTACTGTTGTTTTAGTCAAATACGTAGCCAAGTATTGTTTCTCAGTAACCCATAGTCTTACCTGACCAAGTGTTCAAATCGCCTAACAACTTTTGGTGTTTGTCTTCCCCAAACACAATCTTAATGATTTCTTTTGCACCTAAAACTATTTCTGTAATTTTTCAAGGGCAGGGGGCCTGGAAAAGTAACAAGATTTTTACTTTTATCTACAAAGATGAAAAAGAGAGATGCTGGAAATAATTAGGTGTATTTGATATGTTACAACTGATGAGTTAGCAAATCAGATTTGCTTAGCTTTCTCTAGCTAAAATGTGTGTTCTTAATATTTCAGAAAGTGTGTGCTGTAGAAATCCCTAAAGAATTGTCCATACCATCACTCTTCATATGTTTCTATTTGTCACGGTCCTAGTTCTGCTGTGCCTAATGTTATACAATAGTACAGTGCTATCAGTCATAATTTCAGTTATTTTTAAAAATATTAACTTGGTCACAACTTTGCTTCTTTGATTTGAACCTAGAATCTTCTAGGCCAGTGATTTTCAAATGGGGATACATATCACCTCCCTATGGAGTTTTATTAACATATAGATATTTAGGATGTACTCCAGACTCATTCAGAATATATTGTTGATATATTCGTGGTATATTCTAACTATATGCTTGATATATTCATGGTATATTATGTCAGGATTATTACAGTTATTTATCAAGATTTTTTTTCTCTGTAAAAATAATGTTTACCCGTGATACAGTTTGGCTCAGTGGAGGCAGACGTCCCCCTTGCTATTCTCATGATAGTGAGTGAGTTCTCACAAGATCTGATGTTTTAAAAGCACCTCCCCCTTGGCTCTCTCTCTCTCCTGCCACCATTGTGAAGAAAGTACCTGCTTCCCATTCGCTTTCCACCATGATTGTAAGTTTCCTGAGTCCTCCTTGCCATGCTTTCTGTTAAACCTGTGGAGAGTCAATTAAACTTCTTTATAAATTACCCAGTCTCAGGTAGTTCTTTATAGCACTACCTGAGAATGGACTAATACAACCCAATTTTATAAATCAAATGTAATAGCCACTCTTTGAAAACAGGGGAAATTATCTTCTTGTCTAAAACCTTTTGGATCGACTTCCTGATCTTGTTTTGTACTCCACACGAACAGCCAGATTTCCTTGTCAGTTGCATTATTGTTCTAATGACCTGTCACCAGATCTTTCACTTTTGAAAATTATCAGTAAGAAGTTAACCACAGTGCCACTTTATGTCTTTTGTCATCTACAGATAGTCTTTGTTTTACTCTGATGCATCTCAGTCTTTGCAAATCAGCTAGAGGCCATAGTGCTTGTCCTCGGCGTGGTATCTTCTCAAAGCCCTGTAGAAAAGGATGATGCCAGATTGTCCTTCACTTTTGCCAGATACTTTTGGGTACTGGCTTCTGATGGTGTCACTTAAACAATATTGAGAACATACCAGTGGACTGAGTTAGGATTCCTAGAACTCTAGCCAAGAAACAAAGGGGTTCATGAGACTCTTCACTCAAGACTGAGTGGAATACAAATTAACTACATAGCACTGAATGAGCTGACGAGGACTGTTTGTGCTTTTTGTTTGGAATATGATCATTCTGATATTCTGTTTTCTGGATATATAGGGAAGCCCTTTCTTTTTCCTCTTAAGTGGTCTATAATACATAATACATAGCAATTTAGATTTTGCTTTTATAAACTGAAACTCAGTTTATAAACTCAGAGAATAAGATATCACTTACGAAATGAAACATTTGATAGTGGTATTTGATTCTCTCTGCCTGACTCCTCCAGAATTTGGAAACTCTTATTGAGTATTTTTATTTTCATGGCAACATAATCATTTGCATAGGTTCAATAAGAATCTGTCCTTCTTGTTACCATGACAAAATTGAAAATACAGGTTATACAACTAAGGCAGTGCTTGGAATGTCATAGTTGAGAATGATGCTCATTTAATCAGATATGACCAGATGCTTTTAAGAAGCTAAGGTTGGCTTTACGGAAATGATGCTTACAAAGCCTTCCCGGGAAAACAGGCCTGATACCTGATTTACAGATCCTCTTCCTTTTAGGTGAGTAAAGAGGTAAAGAAGGTCCTTTCCTGGCATGCCTAGGAATCCTAGGATATTTGGGGGACTTGAAGAAAAAATAAATTTGCCCAGATTTATAGGTACTTGACAGGTGAAATCTGGTAGCAAGTTATTGGCTTGGCTTCCTGTCTAGAGAGATTTTTTTTAACAGTCCAATCTGAGCCTCCTTATGAAAATTTCCAAAAAGCAAACTTAAAAGGCCAATATGGTAAATTACCATTCTTGCTGTACCAATCTGAATAACCATTCTAGATCTAATGAGATGGCTTGTAATGGCAAGAATAATCTTTCTTTGAGATTATTCTTGATCAAGAGTCAGTGACTACACAAATAAATTTTGCATTTTAATGAAAAACTATACATCAGATAGCACAGTCTCCCAGGTTATCTCATTCTAACCTTGTTCATTGTTTTTGAGCTGTTTGGGTTTTTTTTTAATGTGAGTAATGATTAATAGGCAAACTGTCTTGTCTGGTGGAATTGTAATTGACTTTCTCCCTAGCTGTTAGTTTTTGTACCTATCTGTAAGTTGGACTGGATCCTGTAAACTTCCCAAATTATCAATCCTTTTCAGATCTTCAATCTTTCTGGTTTCCAACAGTTTTTTCAATTTTTCTCACTGCTGCCTGACTCAGTGTCACCGAGAACTAAAATCTGACTACCCGGATCCCTGTAAGGACTCAAGGTTGTCTTGTATCTGGGTCCTTTTCCCTAGGATCTGAAGAAGCATTATAAGCTAAAATTTGCTATATATACTTCAAAGGACTCACCACTGTAGCAGACCATTCATGGGCCCAGTTTCTCCCTGGAAAGGCACTGCCTGGGCCACTAAGAAGCCTGTGGAATGCTAGAGTCAGACATGCCCTGTGGACAGCACCACTGAAAGCACTGATGTCCTATTCAGTAGCTCTAAGAGACTCAAAGAGCAGTGTTACAGAACTGAAAGATTTTCCTCCACTGACCTCTTGGAATCCACTGAACTGGTTACCCTCATTATTCAATTTCTGGCTCTTTAGTAAACCTTTTATACTTATATTTCTCTTTTTCTTTTTAAGCAATCCTCTTTTACGGTGCCTAGTCCCCAGAATCCCAACACAACTGACCTTGACATTATCTTTCTACAGATGCTTCAACTGTCTTTGTCCGAATAACACTAAGACTCTTTGAGAAATGATTTCTGAGACCTTACTTCACCCCACTCAGGAGATTTATGATTGTCATTGAGTGTTTCCTTGATGAATGATATTCATCTTGAAAAAAACCAGGGACTGACAATGAAGAAATTTATCTGAGTCCTGTGTCCCTCAAAATATCTCCTCATTCTTTGTGTCCTGAGAAATGGCTAACTGCAAGGAAACACCCTGCTCGAGCCTCTTCCTTTCCACCCTTTCTTCATGGTTAAGAAAAGACCATCTCCATCCTCATGACTACCAAAAGATTCAGTTGCTCCCTTGTTTACTGTCTCTATGAAACCCCAGGTTTCCTTCCTTTCCTTGAGACAGTCTTCATTAATGAACATTTTCCTTATTGTAGTAGCCTGAATAAGATCATCTCCTTAATTGTCTAGGGCATTTTGTCTTTCACCAAACCAACGGTTACTGCCTGCCTGTGGCCGCTGATCAGGGCAAAACGATGAGGTTATATGGAAAGAACCACACCGGTGACCAATGTCAGAGCAGGGTCGATTGGTAATGGTACCTTAGCAAATTGTTCAAACACAAGGAAGACACCTAAGTTGACAGGTGGGTTATTCCTATCCATACATCAAGAGGGAATTCTTGACATGGTGAGAGGTCATTTGTGACCATGCATTAAAGAGTAGGAGGTTGATAGGGCATTTGAACTATAAAATAAGCTTACATTCAGTAAGTACAGTGATTTTCAGTGGAATTATTTCATTGTATTATAATGTTAAATGTAGTTAACTTCTGAAAATTTAGTGAAAATCTGTTAGAATTGCTTTCTTGCTATTTTTAGTCATACCTCAAAATTTCAGTTCAATCAATGCCACTTGAAAATTAGAGATTTCTGTCCTAGTGTTGTTGTGTTGCTTTAAGATTTCCAATATCATTGGATTATTGCAAGATAAATCATCTTTTAATGATCTAGATACCTGCTTACTTTTCTTATGAGTCAGTCACATGAGCATGTTAGGTTATGTTCTTTTTATCAAGTCATCTATCGACAAAGCATTTTATTGAGACTTCTTCACGCCTTTGATTCAGCTTTAAATTTCTCAAATGGTATCCTTCTTAGGAATTCAAGGCTGATTTTTCACTGTTTCTTTACATGAAACCTTCCCTGAAACCACCACTTCCCTTCCCTGTCCCCAGGCAGAGTTGATCACTGTCACTTTGATACCATCATAGGACTTGATTATCCCATAATGTAACCTTTATCACTTTGGATTCTTCTGAATCAAAAAAGCATAGTGAATGAGGTTACCTGGTTCTTACCTCTTCACTAGCTGCCTGACCTTGCATAAGTTACTACTGAATTTCTGTCTTCAAGTTTCCTCATCTGCAACATAGGATAAATACCTCATAGTGTTTTAGTAAGAATAAAATGAGCTGATGCATGCAAAGTTCTCAAAAGACTGTCTGGGATATTAGTAAGCACCACATAAACACAAGCTATCAACATGCATTGTCTCTTTCGTTATTGTGAGTTCCGTGAGGCGTTTGTTATTGTGAGTTCTTCATCCACTGTAAGCTCTAGGTCCACATATCTAGTTGACTATTTCACATTTTACCTGATCGAGCAAAGCATATCAAGTTTATTACAACTACACTGAAATATTTATAGGTAAGATGATAATGATAGCTGGGATTGGCTTCAAAGTAATTCAAGGAAGGAGGGCAGGATGCAGGTAGAGATAAAGCAACACCCAGCATATCTCAACAACTATATAAACTATATGCTAGGTATATTGGCTTTAGAGTTATACTATTCTCTCAACTGTTGGATATATTTGAAGATAACCACTGTCAACCTAGATAACAGACAGAGAGACTCCCTAAAAGAAATTGAGCTGGGCACAACAGCTCCAGTAATCCCAGCACTTTGGGAGGCCAAGGCGAGAAGATTGCTTGAGCCCAGGAGTTCAAAACCAGCCTGGGCAACATAGGAAGACCCTATCTCTACAAAAATGTTTTTTAATTAGCTGAGCATGGTGGTGTACACCTGTGGTCCCAGCTACTTAGGAGGCTGAGGTGGGAGGGTCACTTGAGCCTGGGAGGTCAAGGCTACAGTGAGCTGTGATTGTGCCATTGCACTCCAGCCTGGGTGACAGAGGGAGACCCAGTTTCAAAAAACAAATACATTAATAAATGAAAAGAAAATTATTTTTATTCAGGGATGGACATTGCAATGAAAATACACATGCCATAGTAAACTATGTGCGTATTCGAGGAGGTAAAGCAAAACAAAGATTGTTAAAGGAAAAATCAGGAGGATAACGTAATTGTTTTGAGATCATTATTCTTGGCTACAGTTATCAATAACAAGGGTGGCACCAGTCCGAGGCTAGACAGGCAGTTGCTGGGCAGATAACTTCACTGAAGTATTTTTTGTGTAAGGTTGTGATGGCCTTTGTGCAAGATTGTGGTTTTTGCAAAGTATTCTGTGATAGCTTTGGTTATCAGGCATTTGTGTGTGAGAATTCTCCCTTTATGGCCTTTCCTGGCTCCATTTGTCAGGGTTCCTAACACAGGTGACTTCATTTGACTCTGACAACTTTCACACTATGATGAAAAATTTAAAACTTAATATGCTCAATACTGAAATTGTAACATTTCCCAACCTTTCTTCCTAGTCTGGTGCCTGTCTCAGTAGATAGCATATTTTTATTGTATAGGCAGAGTGGCAGTGGAAGGTTTTTGAGATGAGGGTAATAGCCAAAATTATTTTTAATTTCCTTCTAGCTCTGTATTTATTGAAATTATAATTAAAGCATTTGGAGAAGATTATTGTTATTATGATTATGGTGAAATGCAGGATGGGTTGGAGTAGAAAGAAGTAGAAAGAATACCCCATTGTGTCAAATAATTTACCACTAGCGTGGAGCCTCAATAAAAGAAGATTTCAGCTATGGCAGCTCTGCAAAGAGAGCCCTGGAAATGGGTCTTATAAATCTTCTGTTGTCTAGTCGCATTCTGGCTAGAAGAGTATCACTTTCACCCCGCTCTTACTGAACAGTGGAACTCACCTCTGTATTTATTCATCCATTGAATAAGCATTTATTGAATGATATATTATGCCCTAAGCTCTGAACTTGAGGCTGTAGGCACCAGAAAAGGGGGAGGTGCTCTGCTGCAGCCTGGTCTGCAGGTAAAGGCATACAGACATTGCGTGTGCTTACACAGTGCCAAGCACATCCAAGAAGCAAAGGCGGTTCTGAAATTCTGAACTGATTCAAGGCTTATTTTGATCTAAGATGACCATATGTCCAAGTTTGTCCACAACAGTCCAATGTGTAGCTCCGTGAGAATTGTTAAGAATGTCACTAAGTGCTGTCAAATATGTCCCAGTTTAAATAGTAAATTATGGGGCCACCCTTTCCTAGTCCCAAATTAATCTAAGAGGGCAAGATTTAATCTTACAGGCAGCTCGTCCCTCTTGCTCCTTCCTATTGCAGAGCTAGGGCCCTAGGAAGACCTGGTCTAAGGCAGATCTTGACTTTGGCAACCACAAAATTGCCCTGCTAAAAATCTCCAAGAAGGATGTAAATTCATACACCCTCTGTGGAAAACAGTATGGAGAGTTCTCAAAGAACTAAAAAGTAGATCTACCATTCTATCCGCCAATCCCACTACTTGGAATTTACATAAAGGAAAAGAAGTCAATGCATCAAAAACACACCTGCGTGAGTATGTTTATCACAGCACAATTCACAATTGCAAAGGTATGGAATCAACCTAAGTGCTCATCAACTGATGAGAAGGCCAAGAAAATGTAATATATATATACCATGGAATACTCTTCAGCCATAAAAAAGAGCTAAATGATGTCTTTTGCAGCAACTTGGTTGGAACTGGAGGTCATTATTCTTAGTGAAGTAACTCAGCAATTGAAAATCAAATGCAACATGTTCCCGCTTATAAGTAGGAGCTAAGCTATGGGTACACAAAGGCATACAGAATGGTATAATGGACATTGGAGACCCAGAAGTTGGGGAGGATAGGAGGGGTTGAGGGCTGAAAAACTACCTACTGGGTACAGTGCACGCTACTTGAGTAAGGGATGCACTAAAATCCTAGACTTCACCACTACACAATTCATCCATGTAACTAAAAACCACTTGTACCACTTAAAGCTATTGAAATAGAAAACACATAAAATAAAAAAAAAATTTAAAGTAAAATCTCCAAGGAGACAAGGAGACCCTTAAGGTCTTTTTACTTCTCCCATAGGGCACCAGAGCACGAGGGAGGGGAACATGCAGAGAGAGGGGCATTGCCCAGAGATGACTGTGCAGCAGGACACCAAAGGTGCATGAGCAGAAAGATTTGGTGCCAAACCTCCGCAGGCATGAAGATAATGTCATCTCACTCAGTGAAGCTGTAAAGAGAATAATTTATCAAGCAGAGAATGGTTTCGATACTTTTAAATCTGACGTACACAGGAGCACATACCAGTGAGACTATTCTAGTCTGTAAAACAGTGAAATGATTTCATCCTGGTTAGTAAATAGCCCTAGCAACAAGAAGCTTGGAAATTCCACCCTGGCTGCCCACCCCTGTCCCAGATCACAAGGTCCCCTACAGGCCAACATCAGGAGGTTGAAGACCTAGCCCAGCCAGAGTCTATCAGGAGCCTGCCCAACAGCTCTGTCCCAGCTTTTTCTAATTGGTCAGTGCCCATGCCATGTCAATGGCCGCTTAATATTGTGATTATTAGCCCTGGATACTTCCACAGCAACTTACACAGAAGGGGACTGGAATGACTCGGAATGTGAAAAATAACAATAGGATGCAGAAACCCAGAAAACTCTAAACGGGCAAAACTGCATGCCGGACTCCCGATGTGCTGCCTTTCTGAGCTACGGGCAGCCTGTCATCCCTGGGACCCAACATTTCCATCATTCATTGTCTCCAAGGCCGAAGCCCTTCTCTTTTTACTACCTAGTGGCACCAGCCCTAGCTCTCTCTCTGATTACTGCCCAAGATTTGAGGAAATTTGATGGCCGCTGCCATCACATTCATCACTCTATTTCCTCCGATGTATTGGCTCTGTGGCCAGTAGTTGTCAATGAAGTTGTCATGGCTTCATGGCACCAGATTTGAGGCAAGCTTTGTAAATGCCAGCAAGTTTTCTGCCAACCATGCATTGTCATAACAAGAATGATGCAGTAAACAAATAATCATACGACAGAGACGTTCAAAACTAGGGCTCAGGGTACATACGGAGCTTTGATCTTCCTAAGAGAATAAGAACAAGTTCATTCCACTCACAGTTCACTCACAAGCTGGAAATAATCTACGTTAGTCCAAGTTGCAGGTCCAGTGTATCCCCTTGGCTCTGGAGGAGTTTAAGAAGAAAGGGTCAGGGGTCCCGGGTTCTGGTCTTGCTATTTGCCTGATGTTGGACTCTGGATGAGTCACTCACCCTCTCGATATGTCTCTTTCCTTGGTTGGCTGATGGATACATGATATGGTTCCAGCTTCCCGAAAGGATTGTTGTGTGAGGGTAGGGGTCGAATGAGAGAAAGGATGTGAAAAGCTACAGGAAACCAAATTATCTACAAAGATGAGAGGTTACTGTGAAATGTGTAACATTCACTTGCAGTAGATAAATTCTGAGCTCCAGACCCAAAGTCCCCAGGAACTGTGAGTATAAAGGTGAGATAAAGCCAATGCAGAAGGGACTCTATTAAGAACATAAGCTTGAAAGCAGTGTTTTACACATTGAGAACTTAAATGTGAAAACAGGCATTTTCAAGACCTTAGAAACAGAGAGGGGGAAAAAAAAAAGCAGACCACTGCCTTGCATTGTAGAGTAAAAGAGAACTGACCGGGCCAGGCACAGTGGCTCACGCCTGTAATCACAGGACTTTGGGAGGCCAAGGTGGGCGGATCACCTGAGGTCAGGAGTTCGAGACCAGCCTGACCAACACGGAGAAGCCCCGTCTCTACTAAAAATACAAAATTAGCCGGGCATGGTGGCACATGCCTGTAATCTCAGCTACTGAGGAGGCTGAGGCAGGAGAATCGCTTGAACCCAGGAGGCAGAGGTTGTGGTGAGCTGAGATAGCGCCATTGCACTCCTGCCTAGGCAACAAGAGCAAAACTCCATCTCAAAAAAAAAAAAAAAAAAAAAAAAAAAGAGAACTGACCGAGAGATTTCCCCCTTCACTCAGATAGATTCTTTGGTGAGTAAAGTCTAAAAATAATAATTAAAAATTCTTGGTTATATTCTATTTTATCCTATAGACATTTACTTAACGATGCCATGAGATAGCCTCCTTATAGTCCTTTTTTCTTCCCCTGCATTTCTTCTCTTTCCTCTTGAGGGGATGGGTCTGCTAGCACTGTCTACAAGGCTGGGAGGCAAAGCTTTCAGAAAGACTGATTTTGGCTTTAGTACCCAGAGCCTTCTAGCAAGGTTTGCCTGGGCATCTGTTTCTGCAGACCTCCAGGGGCCCTCTGGCTGAAATAGTCGTGCTTAACTTAAGTGTTCAGGCTCCAGAGATGCTACAGCTCCTTCTGTGATCTTAGGTGAGTCACCTCCCTTTTTGGGCCTTGGATTTTCACCTGGAAAGACAAAATGTTGCTCTTTCTTAATGTCAGCAAGAGTTCTCCTGAGGGAGCTCTAGATTAGTCCAATACCCAAGCTGTGTTTTGGGGGAGTACAGGCAGTATCAAAGCCAGTGGATCCATCAAAAAAGATGCCAATCTCTGGTGGTGCAAATGAAGTACCTATTAGTAGGTGTTCCCTCTGCCCTGGCAAAAGTTACCACATTCCACCTAGAGTTCTCTGGTTTCTGGAGTTCTGAGATCAAAGCTTGCCTGGGCTATCAGTGTAAAGAGAGAAAGCTGTCCTAAGTGGGTTTCCAGAAACCATGCTTTTACTGGAAACAGAGCAAGAAATGTGACAGACCATCCCATCAGTTTACCCTTCAAGCTGATGTGGACTGTAATATAATTGAATGTTTCGTCTTCATGTTTGAAAAATATTAATTTTCTGTGAGTCTCCCAACTTATTTACTGCAAATCCTCATGCCCTAGAGTGTCTACATCATCCCTTTCATTTTTCCTACTGGATACTGAAGCAGGAAGCATGGGAAAGGGGGGCTCAAGGGTTTGACTGATGAAAAACCCAACCAAAACTCATCAATCTGACTTACTATGCTGTCCTTTGGACTGTTTTGTTCAGTGGCTTCTCTGATTCTGACTTCCTCTTAAATGTATTAGATCCATGTCTTCTAAGCTCAGATCTTTATTTTTTTTCATGCCACTTCAACTTCTTTATGTAATCTCAAACTCTTTCTCAGAGGTATGAAAGAAACTCCCCTCAACTCCCTTGTTTCATAGATGAGAAAACTCACGATAGAAGGAAATTGAATCGTTTGCTCAAGATTAAATACTGGCCAAGTTCAGACCAAGCACCTTGTCAACATGGGCAAAACTTCAAAATTTTCTTCAGAGTCACGCACTGAGAAACAGTTTATGGATAAAGTAAGCTTTATAAACAATTCCCCAAAGACATTGGACTGTGCCTTAAAGAGAAAAATGAGGATCAATGAGGACGGAGACTCTGCACAGGACATTGATTACGCATGCCTGAAGACTGTTATTTGAAATCCTTCTGATGTGTCACTGTTAGGACGACAGTGATCACTACATGCTAATATTTGTTAAATGCCAGGAATTCCTTCAGACACTATTAGAGAAGGGCAAGGAAGATTCTCGAGGGCTAATCAAGCTCTTAGAGAATTCAGTTAGTAGTGACCATTTGCAATACTGCAATTGCAATACTGTGCTCTCCAGTGAGCTGACAAGGCCAGCCAAGGCAAAGTGGAGAGGAAGTGGTGCTTTGTGGCAGAGGACCTAGAATCAGTACCTGGTGTCTCTACCTCCATGGGCACACGGCCAGTCCTAGGCTATCACGAAGAAGCAATGGTACTCAATGTTCCTTAAGAAACAACATCCTTAATGTGAGAAAATAAAAAGCCATTGGAAACCTCTACTTGCTCTGAGCAGGCCATTTTCTAAAAGCAACTTTGGTATATAACTTTGTATAATTAGGTATGTTTTGGGGGGTTGTCTTGCCATTACTTCCTTCAGTCCATTAATATGGATAAAGCATCTCTCACCACACCATCAGCTTAAACTGTTGAATCCTGCCTAATAGCCTGAGCCAAGTTAATGGATGAAGTCCCTGGAGAATTTTTCAGGTGAAGGAGAAGCAGGAGGCTGCTACCCAAGAGAAGACAGAGGTGTTAAAGCTGCTTTTTTGTTTTGTGTTTTTACCTCAATGCAGTATAAAATCAACATTTAAGATACAGATAAAATTCTTTATATAATTAGCTTAGACCGTAATATCCTTCTAATTGTCACTTTTCTATGAAACCGTCTTTAACCATTTATTTGCCTTTATGGTACTTAATCACGTTGGCCCACTCCTTACAAATTTCAGTAATGATTCCAAATCAGTACAGTAAGGAAAAAAATATTTATTTTCTAAAGTCATTACCTTGACAGGCAAAACAAAGCATGTTCTCAATTTCATTTAGAAATACATATTTTAAAAATACATAGACCAATATGGCCTGCCCAAACAGATATTTAACATGGTAAATATAAGGAATAAATTGTTTGAATATAAATATCTATAAAAAAATAAGTACATCAAAATTCAATCCAACCTCTTTCATTAGCCGGTTATATAAAGGAAAATAATTTTACTGCTTTAAAGCGTAACAAACACTTACTTTTCAATATATTTCATAAACAACCCTATACCATTGTGTCTCCAAAAATCAAGGACAGGGAATCTCCTGATTTAATGATCTTTTTTTTCTTATGGATCAGAGCTAGTAGATTACCATGAAAATATTATATCTACTGCTGACACATTAGACCAGACTTCTACGAGGCTAGGATTTAGTATGGGGGATGGAGGAAGGGGCAGCAGGGGTGGGAAGAGTTTGGGGAGGCAATAATTAAATGTGGGAAATACTTCTGCCAGAGTGCAATATAGGTGAGGTAGACTCATATTCATGAAACATATCCTGATTTATGGTAGTAACAGTTTCATTCAGTTTTGCATTTTACAAATTTAAACAAAAGTCTTTCTTTTTTTTTTCTTTACTTGCATGTTTGTCTTTTGAGTGTGTTTTCAATTTGTGCATTCCTTAGAAAATCTTTGTGTGGACTTTGGAGTTTCTCCCTGAAATGTGCCAGGCGCCTGAGTCAGACACAAACACTCCCTTAGGACCTTCGTCAGAAACTCCACCCCTGTGTGGAATCTCCTTCCTCTCTCTCTCTCCGGAGGATGCCACCCGAATTCGAATGTGACTGTGTGTTTCTGCTGAGAGGTCCATTGTCATCCCCAGATGAAAGAAGAGACCAAAGCAGTTACCACTGATGGAAGCCAGTGAAGATGGTTGGGGGAACTCCTTAACCTTTCTTGGAATGTTTTGAACGAGGACGCTGGTCCTTTGCCAGTCAGGAACCAGCAGAGGATGCTCCTGCTCTGATCCCAGCCAGGGTGGAGAGTGCAGAGTCGGCCACAGGGCTCTCCGTGGAGGCTATGGCTTCAGACAGGCCCCGAAGGTCTGTCACCAATGTGCTCGGTTGTGGGTCACATAACGCTCTCTGGAGGGCTTGCCTTTCAGCTTGGGATCATGAAAAGATGATTTGACGCTGTTTCTCATGGTCTCCGACCTAATAAAGCAAGATAAGAGAAAACAAATGTTATTTTAAAAAAATCACCCTTTGGCAAAAGAAACATGTAAAATTAGAATCTGGCACAAACAAAACCTGAATCTGGTTGTGAACTTTCACCACCCGCCGCAACTCTTTGATAAAACCTCAAGTGATATCTATTACCATTGTAAAAATAAAGCCTGCCCCTATGCTTAGAATGGGAGCGAGGGGTCATATGGTCAAGTCTAAGGGGAAGTGGGCAGTAAATACAGGTTTTAAATAAACTAGAGTTGTTCTGGTTTCTTCCGTAGCCCCATCCCAACCTTCATCACTATGTGACCCTGCCTTGAGGAACTCAGCATAGGTTTTGAATAGTTATGGCCATCTTAATAAATTGACGGTGACTTAGTTGAAAAGAGAGAAAAAGAAAAGAAGCATACAGTAGGCCCAGAGCAAATACTTTATGGCAATTATTTTTAAAAAGATTTTTTTTTTTTGCAGGCCTAATGTTTTACAGGAGAAATACAGAGGGAAGAACTGTAATGTTGATTTAATAGTTGGCATAATAAAAACCCATAAAAAATTCCAGGTTAGTTCAGAAACTGATCTCGTGGGGAGCATTACTGGCCTGCGACCATAAATATGGATACTCTCATAAGCAGGTGTGAAGAAACCGATAGCTGAGGCTGCCCCACAAATCAGTAGTAAATAACTCAGAAGTAGTTCATGACTGCCTGGCCTGAGCTCAGAACACTTTAATCATAGAACTTCTTGCCACTGGATTTCTAAGAGAAGTTTCCATAGACCATGATAGAAAAATGCAGAACATGTGGTAGATCAGAGAGTAGGTTTCCTCCTTTGAGCTTGTGAATTCCAAAAAGTTTAGGATTTGGAAGGGTTATCACCAAAGAGCAGCTCAGAGCAACTCTATGATGTTGCCTAATCCAGATCCCTTCTCTGTCCCAGCACATGACTGACCAGGAAAAGAGAGAGCTTTTTGGAATGACATTGGCTCTGCACCAAACACATTTCCCTATTTAAAAAAAAAAAAAAAAAAAAGACCATAAACCTGAAAAACAGCATGTTCTAAATTCTACCAACCCTATCTAATGACTTTATTTTTCCTTTGGCCATCTGAATAACTGCAACTTATTGAAGAATTTGATTATCCATGACACTTTGATTCTTTTTCTAAATGTCCGCTCCCCAAAATGATTTTCGATTTCTCAGGGAAAGTGGTAAATACATTGACTCAGAGAGGCAAAGGCTGTATATAACCCAATGACAAAGGCATCTCTGGATATATTTTGGTTGGGAAATCTACCTGTAGATGAAATGGTATGTGCTAAAAGTACAGAGGACATCGGTTTGCATTCCAGAGCTTCATGGAAATATTTAAGAGGGATTCTTTTGCTCCTTTTAATCTATAGGATGCATAGATCTCCTCTGCTACTGTTTTCTAAGTCTTTCACCTGCCCGGGTAAGAAGGGCTGGAGGAACAGGCTGCTGGCATCACTGACTGGGGCTAGTTGTTCTTGTGAACCTCTTACCTAATTTTTCTTCCTTCCCTCTTACCTGGTTTGTCTTAGGTGTTCCTCTGAACTTCTTCTGATTTTTCTTCCTCTCACTAACTGCTGATAAATACACTTTTTCCCAAGCTTGGAACAGTCTTTTCCTTTCTTATGATTATTCCAGTCTTTCTCCATAATGTCTTCAGCCCTGTTAAAATACACAAGGAAAAACATTTCAGCAATGTTATATTCAGCTTTACCCTGACTTTCAATGTCTCTGTTAGTCTCTCTAAAACAGGAAGGCAGTACCATGATAGGAAGGAGTTCAGGAGGCTGTTAAACTGATTGAAAAGCAAAGGTGTTTCTGCTCACCTGAGTTCTTTTCCTGCTTGGCAAAAATTCCAGCACTTCTTGTCTTTTTGGCTAGCACATTGGCATCTATTTTCACGGTCTGTTGCCTTTGTGGGAAGTAAATTCTCCAAGGCTCTCTTGGACCTAGGGCTTCCAAGTCCATACGGAACAACGTGCCTATTATCCAAAGAGAGAAAGAAACTATATTAGTGTAATTAATAGTCTTTAAAATGACACATGGACACACCTATTCCACTGGGCACACAAGGAGCTCATCACATAGCACTTGGGAGCATCATTTCAGAGGGTAAAGTGTAACAACAGCCAGGAACACCTGTGCATCAATGGCCCTGACTGTATGTATCCAGGCAGGAGAAAACAAGTTTTTCTAATTCAGTGGAATTCCATTTCAACTCTTCACAAAGTTCAGTTTCTTCTTGACACAAGCAACATTGCTTTTTTGTCAAAAATTAGGACATCTCTGCTTGGCATCTGCTTTATATTTTCTTCCTTTTCTAATGGTCTATTTAGTTAACTATTTGTGGGTACACAGTGGGAAGAGGTTTCAATGCAAAACCATGACTCACAGGATTTTTAAAACTTATTTTCAACTCAAACCACGGAGGATACTGCTAAAAGTGCCACCGTCACCCCACCGACCCCAGTGGTTGGGGGAGGAGGAGGCACATGTTCACACATTTCTCCTGCCAGTCGGTGGTACCATATGGTTGTGGAAGGACTCATAGCCAGAGGGCTCTCCAATAATTTCCAATGTGTCCATTTTCATTCTCATCTAAGAAATAAAGTCCTCCCTTTGGAAGTATCACCTTAGTAATTATTAGGCTCCTTGTGGTTTTTGGTGTGGTTTGATATTGTTTGGATTTTGGTCCTCCTTTGTCATAACGGTACATTGTATGCATAGTAAATGTGTGCTTGTTTATGACTGCTTCCGACAGATGATGAACTAGTGTCCAGGGCAGAAGGAGGAAATCTGCTTTTCTTCTCTGTAGGTGAAAGAGAAGCCTATGGACAGTATTTCTATTTCAGTTCTGAAATGGGCATTTCTAAAGGGAAAATATAGCAGCAAAGGAAATCCGGGCTCCAGTTCTAGCTCTGCTACAAACTCACTCCTGCACAAATGGCTTCAACACTTTGAGCCTAGGTTTTTCTGTAAGTAAAATTAAGTGATTCTAACCCTCTATATCATCACTTCTGCCTCTCAGTCTCCACCCTCCCATGAGAAGCACAGGTTGCACTAACCCACATCTGACCTCGGCAATTATTCCCGAAACCCCATCAGATGCCACTGTGAGAGTGTCCCCCTGAGGCCCTCTCACTGAAAGTTCCTCATTTGAAACGTGCAGTGGCCTCCTGCTTGTCCCATCATGAGTAGCCTGAGCTACGGGGCCTCAGAAGACCCTCCCCTTGGTTGCTAAGAACGAAGCTGTCGTTATTTTCAGGAATAGAGGGAAACTGTCCCCACTGAGGCACTTGGATGGTGTTAGAAGGACTACCTTCAGAGTCCCTAGAAAAGAAACTCTAAAACTGGGCTCCAGTGGAGCCAGCGCTAATGAATGACTAGGGTTACAATGCCCTCTAGAGACTTACTCGGGAGTGTTGACCCAAATGATGTCCAGGTGGCAGAAGTAGACACACTCTTTATCCATCAGGGACGAGCAGGAGCAGCGCTTGGACCGGCGGAGCCGCCAGGGTGGACTGGGAGTGGGTTTCTCCCCGCCGTTCTCACCCACCGCGCTGAGCTCAGCGCCTAAGACTGCTGGGGAGAGAAAGAGCAGGTCAGTGGGGGATGTCTCCTCAAACGCCGAGAGACATGCTGGATCACAGTAGAGTCAGAGCTAGCAGAGCAGATAAAAGCAGATGAAGCACACAGCCTGCCATCAGCAAGAAACACAGAAAAAAGGGCTCTTTATTTTTTTCCCTCCTTAACATGAGTTCACCTTTTGCCTCCCCCTCATGCCCTTGGCTTATCCACCTTCAGGGAGATTACACAAATGCAGAGGAGATAAACACCTGAAAAGGGACTTCCCCCACCCCTCTTGAAGCAGGCTCAGGGAAATGCTGTGGAATGCTGCCTGTTGAAAATCCGGCTGGCTTCTACAAGGAACTTGGTAGGACAGCACTATCCACTGAAGCTTACTTAACATTGGCACATGACTAAAGACAAGAAATCACAGTTATTCCTAGCTTTGGGGCCACTTCCCCATTCAGGATGACCCTCTCTTTAGGGGGTACCCATCCACTTCACATGCTGTGTAGGGCACAGGGTACCCCAGATGATGTATATCTTTCAAAATTAGGTGGGGAAAATGATTGGAGAGAGAAATTAACTATTCAATATTCAATTCAGGAGGGTAACTCCATAGAAACCAGTGACCTAAGGTGGGGCTGAGAAGCAGGTCAGGGGACTGAAGGTAGGCTGGGGGGATTTTGAATTCCGAATCCCTGGGCATCAGGCTTGTGTGGGATCCACTGCCTCCCCCTTCTCCACTACTGCCTTGCCTCTTCCTCCTAACAATTTAGCCATGCAGCTTATCTGCCCAATTTTGTACATTTCAAATGATCAGACACATTCCAGGATTTTCATTCCCTTGACATCCTTTCTCTTTAGTCAGGGTCACGAAAAGACAAAAAAAGTGCACTGACCCTAAAAACGGGGGGGACCCGGGCAGATGCACACGCACTGCCTAAATCCTTCGGCAGCCAAGAATTATCCTAGCTCCCCTCCCAGCACAGGTGAATAAAGCTGAAAAGAGAGCTCACACTGTTTTGGGTGCCAAAAACCTGCCAAAAGAAACCTAAAGTCAATGATGACAAATTTTAAAGAAAACATCTGCTTCACCCAGAAACCGCCTGCGGGGGGTGGTGGCGGGGGGGGGGGGAGGCGGTAGTTAGTCAACAGACTTTTGCTCTGCAGGTGATTTTACTGAACATACATTGCTTGAACGACTGGATACAATTCCTTGGCTTCAAGCTGGAATGCTTAAATATTTTACACGTTAACACACTATTAAAATAGTGTTTAAATAAGATTTAAGTTCCTATATGGCCTGTGTACCTGTATAAACACATATATTACAAACATACATTTGACTAAATTGTATATGTCCATACTCTTCTCATTTTTTAAAAGCCAAGGAAACACATAATGGAATAATAATAATAAAACGATAAGTTATTTTAATGTCATGTTATAGTCAATTGCACCTAATTGTATTCAATAGAGGAATTTTACATTTTACACTAGAAGACTTAAAGTAGCTTTCAGCAATAATTCTCAGACACTTGCTCTCTAAGCTGCAGTCATAAAAAGAACGGGGAAAAATAGAAGCAAGAAAAGCATGAAGGTGGATAAGAACACACTAACTTGTAATTCCGAGACTTACAAGTCAACGAGCGTGCCTACCTGTTTCTGGAGCTCCTTGGCAAGCCACAAACAGCAGAGAGAAAATCATGAGCAAATAATCCATTCTGAAAAAAAGGGATCAAAAACCTCCCGTTCAAACTGAACCCAAAGGAAAACGAAGAAAAACAGCTTCAGGTCCCTCAAAGCGCTGCGGGTTCCTCAGATCTCAAAGCGATCCTTCAGCCCAAGTGCCCTTTTAACGGGGAGAAAAGGCAGCGCCTGCCAGGAGAGAAGGCAGCGAGCGGAGCGTCTGCAGGCGCACGCGGCGGTGGAGAGCTGGGACTGCAGGAGGCGCAGGACCCGTTCGCCTGGCGCAGATGCAGAGGCGCGTCTGACTTGGACAGCTCTCTGCCGGCTTTTTATATTGAACCCCTATTAGAGTGGGGGTAAACAGCTCCGACTTTATTCCAGCCCCAGACAATGTTATTGTGTTATTAGTCACCAACAGGCAACGTGCAGCCGGAGATAAGGCCAGGCCCGAAAGGAAATCACTGCTAACTTCAGAGGCAGACGCCCGCCGTCTGACAATTCGGGGGCAGGGCTAAGAAAAAGAAAATACCCATTAGAGACCTTTGCTAAACCTGCCCGTGCAGTGCTGGAGTCCGCTTCCCCTTTGCAAGCTGCCAGCCCCGGAGTTCAAGAATCAGAAGAGGGGACTCCAGAAAAAAAGTCATACCATTGGTATGAAAAGTATGAGCCACAGTTTAAATAGATTGTATTGTTGTGTGCGGGGAATTTTTTTTAATTGTTGCTCGCTTCATTTTCCTTTTATGTCTCTCCGATTCTAGTCTCAGTCAAACAAGGGAATGCTCTCCCTCGTCACTGCCCCACTACTGGGGGTCAGACTATTTTGGCAGATCAACGTACTTTTCTCTTCAAGCCCCTTCCTGCGGGTCTTTTTTGCTGAAGTTCTTTGCATCTATCGGAGAAAGATCCGTGAGGGATTGGCAAGAAAGGGAGCTTAAAAATAACATCAGAGCTCGTTTAGGCACATGCCCAGTCTTTTCCCTATCACTGATGAGAAGCCCCGATAAGTTCTTTTGTGTGTCCACACTTCCCCTGCGGAGGAGGCTGATAAACTGATTGAAAAGCAAAGGTGTTTTTCACACAGAACTTAAATCTTAAGATTGGTCGGTGCCACCAATCTTAAGACATGGCGGGAGAAGAACACCAGGGGGAGATGAAGAGCTACAGGGGCTGATGTTTTACTAGGACAAAAAGGAAAACCCTTCTAAATGGCAGAAAAAAACGCAACCTGGCTTGGGGGCCGAGGAGGGTCAAGGAATGTTGCCTAACATAGGAAGGAGGAATGCACCTCAGAATATTCTATTTATTCCCCGCACAAGCAGGGACATATTTTCTGGGACTCTTTTTTTTGGGGGGGTGTCTTCATTTAGGGCAAAAAGGTGTTCTTGTACAAGGTTAAGTGAATATGCAAGGAAGGTGGTGCTGAGAAGGAAATGCCATTCGAACAAGGAATCAGATAATACTTCACATTTAATAATGTGTTTACATTTTCAAAACAATTTCCTGTCTATCTAACCTTGAAATCCCCCCCTGAAGTACACACAGGGCAGTTACTGTACAGGTGACATCATGCCTTAATAAAGAAAGCAAAAGGTGCATGGAACACATTGGCTTTTTCCGCTAGTCCCATTTTTCAGGTTAGACAACTGAGCACCCAGAATTTTTGTTTGTTCTCCACCAAAGCGCTCACAGTGGCCCAGTAAGACCTATGGGATAAATTTAGAGTCTCTTCCCAGGGGATGCCATCAAATACACACTTTGTCCATCTCCTCTTTTTGTTTTACTCCAGTTTTTCTGGGGATGGAGGGTGGAATTCAAGCACGGATGAATTTCCAAGACTGGCACAACACACATGCTGGGAAACCTTTTTTCCCTCCTCCTTCTAAAATCAAAAGGACAGTTTTTATCCCAACAGCAAAGCCGTGGGTTTGGACAGACTCAGATCCCCAGACCTCCCTCGAAGTCACAGCTGGGGGAACAGGGACAGTGGCAGCGACAGGTCCATAATGACATGCATCCTCTAAAAGAGCCACTGAAGCAAGAGTTGGAGATGGGAGAGAGAGAGGCAAGAACTCTCCCTCCCACACCCACACCCACACCCACACCCAGAGATGCCTCCACCCTATCCCCAGGGCCTCTGCCGGGGCCCCTGGCCTCCGCTGTGCGCTTACCTCAGCCTAGCCCCGGGGCCCAGGGAGGCCACAGCTCCCGGAGGACAGGCGGCACTGAGCCGGAAGCCAGCGCTGCCGCCTGTGCCAGGCAAGGGTGCCCTGACCTCCCTCTCCAAAGCCGACCTTGGGAGAGGAGAGGAGAGCTGATGTCACATTCACAGGTTCCAAGCAGCGCCTCCCCCCCAACACTCCCGCGGAAGAAAGGTGGCCTGGGAAATATGTCTTGGCAGGGACTCCCCCTACTTTTTTTTTTTTAACCTTTTGGCAACTTTGACCAAACACTGACAACAGTCAGGACCAACATGTTCTCAAGGCCCCTACCCGGAAACCACCGCCCATGCCCTCCCCAATATTCTCAGGTCCAGCCTGGGTTCTACTTCAGCTGGAGTCCCTTCTCCCACCCCACTCCACGCCACCCCACCTTGCTGAGGCTGCCCCTGCAGGTTCCAGCAACGCCCAGCCTTCAGGTGGAGAAGTGGGGCAAAATGAAACTGCCCAAGCGCCTCCAACAGCACTCACCACGCCCCGTCTGTGTCATCCCGTGAATATGAATTGGAAACACAAAACGTGGCCAGCCATCCGCCCACACCTGGCCCTTCTCGAGCTCGGGGAAAGTAAATAGTAAGGAAGAATGCAGGATTTCAGACCTGGAAGGGCCCCACCGTGCCAAATATAATGGTGCCCCTGTCTCTTTGAATCCTGAATTTGCAAGACGTGTGCCTGCGCGCGCGCGCGCGCGCCTGTGTGTGTGTGTGTGTGTGTGTGTGTGTGTGTGTGTGTGTGAGAGAGAGAGAGAGAGAGAGAGAGGGAGAGAGAGAGAGATAGGAGAAGAGAAGAGAGAGAGAGAATTTCCGTGTCTTTTTCTTTGTGTGTCAGGGGCGAGGGGTGGCACCTGCCTTCTCTGTCCATCTCTCCATTTCTCCCTCTGGCAGCAGCTCCCTTTTCCTCCTGTAGGGGCAGAGGGAAGCCCCATTCAAGCCCACAGAAGGCAGCTAGGGCACTGCCAGGCAGCCTCCCAGCAAGACATTTTCCCAAGAATCAAGAAATGAGGGGAGAAGGAGAACCCCAACAAACCAGTTTTACAAGCTTGATGCCCCCACCCCTCCTCCACTTAAGGCACTGCTAGACAGAGATGCGGGGAGAAGAACTAGAGGTGAAAAGAGCTGGACAAAGGAGTGAATATGAAGGATAGCTTCATAGCCCCACCCCACCCCTCAGAGGACTGCAGGGGGAAAATGCTCCTTTTGGCCACAGTCACTCTCAGAAAGGGAAGGGAAGGAAGGGAGAGATGTAAAGAGGAGGATTTTTTTTTTTCCCCAATAGAAAGTTTGCTGTGGCTGTTCTTGCCTTTTTTTTTTTTCTCAATTTTAATTTTTTTGGGGACAGGGTCTCACTCTGTCTCCAAGGCTGGAGTGCAGTGGTGCAGTTATAGCTCACTGCAGCCTCAACCTCCTGGGCTCAAGTGACACTCCTACTTCAGCCTCCTGAGTAGCTGGGACAACAGGCTCAAGCCACCATGCCCAGCTAAGTTTTAAAATTTTTTCGTAGAGATAGGGATCTCACTATGTTGCCTAGGCTGGTCTTGAAATCCTGGCCTCAAGCAATCCTCTTACCTTGGCCTCCCACAGTGCTGTGATTACAGGCGTGAGCCACCACTCCTGGCCTATTCTTGCTTTTGAGGCTACACTTGAATGCTGGAAAGTATTTGATAAAACTATTTTTTATGTATTTCTTTCTGTATCTCTGTATTAATAGATATCTATAAATAAAACATGCTGAGCCCCCAATACAGATACTACACAGTAGCAAATTGTACTGTTTTTAGCATTCTCCAGCTTTCCTTTCTCAACTTTTGCGTAATAAAATTTGTAACTTTGCCAAGCCAATAAATTTGGTATGAGATGTTGCATTTAGCTCAGCAAAGCTAACAGTCGTTAAGTTGCTTGAAAATCACACAAAGAATGAGGAAGTATTTTATCATAGGCAAAGTGAAGCTATCCACACCACTAGGCCTGATTTAGTCTTGGGTTGGTAACTATTATACATTTCTACTCTATGTAGCACTTTTGTGAAAAAATGTGTAATATAGTTATTAGGCCTGTGACACATCACACATCTCCAGGAGCTATGAAGAAACACAGCTTCTCCCTATAGTCCAAAAAATAATGGTTGATTTAGCACAGGAAATATGATGGTCAATGTAAATTCATCCTGTACATTTTAAAAACATACAACATATGCATCTCTATTTCTTGGACACTCATCCATAGGATAATCATAGATAGCAAGTGTTTATTTAAAAGAGTATTTCCAATTCTCTAATCTAGCATTTCCCAAAGTTCAGTTATTCATTAAACTGCTTCACAATTTTTACCATATTTGGGTGCCACCTGTACATTTTTACTTAATATTTTCCTTTTAACTGACTTGTTTCTTTTACATGAATAATTTTAAGAAAATTTTATATCATTACTATCTTAAGCAATAATGTACATGAAATTATGGTTGGTATGCTTAAATAATCCATATGAAATCATGGTTGGTATGGTTAAAAAAACTACATGAAATCATAGTTTAATACATGCTAAACATTTAATCATTATACATTCATTAAGCTATTAAAAATAAAAATGTTTGGCTGGGCATGGTGGCTCACACTTGTAATCCCGAGGCCGAGGCAAGTGGATCACCTGAGGTCAGGAGTTCGAGACCACCCTGACCAACATGGAGAAATCCCATGTCTACTAAAAATTCAAAATTAGCCAGGCATGGTGGCGCATGCCTGTAATCCCAGCTACTCAAGAGGCTGAGGCAGGAGAATCATTGAACCCGGGAGGCAGAGGTTGTGGTGAGCCGAGATTGCGCCACTGCACTCCAGCCTGGGCAACAAGAGTGAAACTCCATCTAAATAAAATAAAATAAAAATGTTCGTACATGTATCTTCTATGCCCACACAGACATGCTCACCACCCTTGGGGAACATGCTCACCACAGTTCCATCAACTGCAATATCTTATACCTTCTTGTTTAAGAATTAAGCCCTGTTTCAATTCCTGTCTCTGACCTTTACTTTCAAGATAACTTTCAAATATTCCACACAAAAATGCTCCTACAGATGCATCTCAAAAAACAGATGTTCCGGCATCCAGAATCTAGAAAAACAAAAGGTTCACATCCCAAAAAGTTTTTAACGGATACCTCCCCTTGGCTTCTTGCTCCAGTGCTGCAGCAGTTATCTTTTATCTCCCTTCCCACTCTCTATTTAAATCTCCTCTCTGAGTGCCACTGACACACATGCATGCACACATCTGAACCTATAAATTAGACTAAGAGAAAATAATGATATGATTATGTATTAATAATTCATGATTAATAATTATATTAGGATATTATTGTTTGTTAATTATTATTATTAATATTAGAATCATATTTCACACATCTCAGAAAAATGTGATAGCCAGTGGCTGCCTCCTCATCTTTTAAATGTTCATTCTATGTCATGAGTGACATCCGAAACTAAAGGGACTCTGATGCAGGGAAAGACCACTTGAGGGTGAGGGGAGTTGAGTCAAGTCACTTCATTAAGTCTAATTTGTGAAGTCATTTTAAACAAGCTTTCCATGTGTCTGAATGAGATGCTAAAAGGAACTAATTCTGGAGGGAAGGTTTCATAGAAATACGGCAGCTACCTTCATGGTTTCTTTCTTTCTTTCTTTCTTTCTTTCTTTCTTTCTTTCTTTCTTTCTTCCTTCCTTCCTTCCTTCCTTCCTTCCTTTCCTTCTTTCTTTCTTCCTTTCCTTTCTTTCTCTCTTTCTTTCTTTCTTTCTCTCTTTTTCTTTCTCCCTTTCTTTTTCTTTCTTTCCTTTCTTTCTCTCTTTCTTTCCTTTCTTTCTCTTTCTTTCTTTCTTTCCTGCTTGCTTGCTTGCTTGCTTTTCCTTCCTTCCTTCCTTCTTTCCTTCCTTCCTTCTTTCCTTCCTTCCTTCCTTCCTTTTTAGACAAATTCTCACTCTGTCACCCAGGCTGGAGTGCAATCACGGCTCACTGCAACCTGGACCTCCTGGGCTTAAGCAATCCTCCCACCTCAGCCTCTTGAGTAGCTGGGAATATTATGCATTTCTTTTTTGTTTTTTAGAAGTTTCTTTGGCACATCAAATTTAGTGGCAAAAAATTAAGCAAAATAACTTCAATCATTCTCAACTTTTGTATAATAAAAGGTCTTTGGCAGAGAGCTATCCTAAAATAACAGTGAGAAATTTATTCATTTGAAATTTGTTTTCATGTAAGAAATCTGGACTCAGAAAACTCCTTTTCTCTAACGTGATGTGCATCCGTGTTTATCGAGCCACCACTAGGTGTCAAAAGGAATTCTAGGTACCTTATGTGTTCCAATGTAAAGGTAGCATGGATTTTATATTCATAAGTCAATAGACTGATGGAGGATTAACAGATACCCCCGGAGGAAAAGCAATACAAATGGAGAAAAGAAAACAATGATTGGGGTGAGGAAGCTGAGGTTCCTACAAGGCTGCTATGAAGACACTATGTACAAAGCAACTTGAGAAAGAGGCTGAATGGAGGTTCTAAAGGGTAGCAGGAAAGATTTTCAAAGGTAAGAGGATTTAGGAGCTGTGGCAAAGGACAGCACATGGATAAGAAGGGCCAGAGAATTTTAACAGGATGTTTTGGTTACTGGATTTGCAGTGTCAGTGAGAACACAGGTGGCTTATGATGATGAGAAAGAGAGTATGTAGACAACATGTGTGGTTAATATTTCCAGTATCTCTGTAATGTGTCAGTAGACTGTGGGAAGTCTATATAATTTTCACATATGATTCTCAAGTCCTAAGGATGAGTGTCCAGTCCCTAAAAGGAAAGGAAGATGCTAAAATTTGCCACAGTTCCCTGAGGAACCCCTTCCTGTACATTAGCTCCAGTGATTTTGACCATTCATGGTGTGGACTGTGTCGCCATTAAAAGGTTCAGATTTTTATTTGTATTAGGAAATATTGTATGAGTTCAAATCTCCAACTCCACATTTTGCAAATCTCCTTTTGGACTTGGATATTTACAGAAAAAAAAAATTCCCTACAGCGTTTTAGAAAAGTTCTCTGGCTTTCAACATTTCTTCTCTTCTTTCCAAGAGAAGAGATTGAATAAAAGGATAATCTGTAATTATTCCTTCCACACTCCCCCCTCAAACTCTAATTTAGTAAAAGTAAATTTCTCTTCAGATAATCATGTTTTCCCAAACATGAGTATGCTGGGAAAAGGGAAACAGTATATTTTACTGGTTGTCTTCGTAGGACAAAAGTTAGATGACTTTTTAAACGGGCATTTGTTTTTATTTGAAAATGCAAATTTAATTCCACATGCTCCAAAATATATTTCACACTAAGGATTTTGTTTGATTTGGCTTTTGCACTTTTTTCCATTTGTTCTTTTGATGGAAAGAAAAACCATTTGGGATAGTTACAAGAATAATTTTCCTGGAAATTCATGTCTTAAATTTTTTTTTCTGTGAAGCTTAAAAACCCCTGCATACATTGTGTTAATATTATTTAGCATTTATTGATATTGCTATTTCCCTAAGTACAGATTTTATCAAGGGCAGTCAAAAGGCCATAGAAATATGTTTCTTTCTCACACGTGACTTGCAAAAGCAAAGAATGAAGAGTAATGACATTGTGTGTCAATCTTTAATTTAGCCAGAACTCCAAATTATGACTTTATTATGTTGGTTTATTTTAGAGAAATGTGGGAAAAAGAAAAATGGGATCAAATGAAGGAATATACTTCATTTGTGTGTGCTTATAGCTCAAGATAAGGTTATTGCAAGACTTTAAGGGAAGCAGTACTGAAGACTTACTTTTAAAGAAGAAGAAGGAAGAGGAGGAGAGGAAGAAGGAGGAGGAGGAAGAGGAGAAAGGATCAGGCCTGGAGCCCTGGCCCCATTCTCAACCTCCCTTCTTCCTGGAGTGTGAGAAAAGCAATGAAGCATGATTTAGACAATCTCAAAGCTGCTAATGTGTATGTAAAGCACATAATCTTGCTACAAAGTGGAAAGGATCTCATGAACTGGAAAGTAGCTTGTTTAAACGATTTTTTCCAAACAGTTTCAAGATTAGCCAGGGAGGGCTAACATTTTCTAGATAAAGCATTTGCACAGCCTTGTTTCTTTCTGGCTGTTCTTTCTCCCACCACATCCATTCTATTTTTGTACATTATCTGGAAGAAACTATCTTTTTGGACTAATGACCAGGTCTCTGTACCAGTGGCTTCATTTTTCCCAATTCTCTCCCATACTCCTCCCCTTTCAAGGAACATTCTACCACTTTGTTATGACTTGGATCCAACAAAATGGAGCAAAGAGCAACTGTTTCTAACATGCATAGAAACTCAAGCAAATGCCCACCTCTCCACTTTGACTGGTTAGCATTTTTTCCTATATGTGTAGATCTACATATTGATTATTTTCTGCTCTCAAAAGATGACCAGAAAACATCTAGGACATCCTAATTCTAATTATGCTTTTCATTTTTTTTAATCTAATCTATACTCACTTTATTTCTTTACATTGAAAGTGATATGATATCAATTCAAAACCCTAGATAGAAAATGAAAGAAATAATCAATAAGTAATAAATTCTCAGTGATGTTTCAAGGGCTTCGATCCCTTCTAGGGAACACAGAATCTGAAAACAGCAACAACCTTTGGAAAAGCCACCATCCACTAATGTAGAGGTGGGAGCAAATATAACATATCAGAAAAATAGAACATAACTAAGGAAAATGACAATCTTTAATTTAGCCAGAACTCCAAATTATGAGAACACCTAATTTTCAGGAAAGTGAAACTATTAATAATGACATGGTCCAAATATAGATCATCCAACTCAACAGAAACTAATGTCTACTCATTAAACAGCTCCTTGGAGATCAACTCCTCACTCAGATAGTCAAGGCACTTAGCCTCTCTCTGCCTTTCCCCATTATAGAATGAGAAAATATCATGTGCCACTTATCTCAAGATGCCTAGAGGAAAGTGTTTCATTGAGGCTGTAGGTGAAATGATGGAGACAGTCATATCAATTGGAAAAGTTTAGTTAGTAAGATATACAGAGAGCTACACAAAGTTTTTTTCAAATCAAGGATTCAGAAGAAAAGGAAAGAGCAAAGTATCATCAAATGCAGAACATGAAAGAAAATGTGCAAAGGACAGAGGAAGAACTGTTTCACATAAGTTCTATTACTGAATGTTGACTGGGGTGAAACAATATCAAAATCCAATTTATGGAAGAGATGCTAATTTGAAGAGTCAAAAAGCTGAAACACAACAGACGTTGTACAGAGAGGTCTGTAAGAGGAAGAATCAGGCAGTCGGAATGTAGACATGGTTTTGAGGCTGAGCACACGAGCTCTTCCTAATTCCAGCTGAAATTGCCAGACTTGAGCTATGAAGTAGGCAGTGGAGAAAATGTAATTTGCAAGTATCTTAAAAAGAAAAAATTGATCTGAGAAAAAAGGCATTTTTACTTTAATTTCCTATCATTGTTTCTTCATTAGGGACTACATTTGGTTTTGTTTGTTTGTTTGTTTGTTTTTTGAGATGGAGTCTTGCTCTGTTGCCCAGGCTGGAGTGCAGTGGCATGTTCTTGGCTCACTGCAACCTCTGCCTCCCAGATTCAAGTGATTCTCCTGCATTAGCCTCCCGAGTAGCTGGGATTACAGGCGCAGGACACCATGTCTGGCTAATTTGTACTTTCAGTGGAGACAGGGTTTTGTCATGTTGGCCAGGCTGGTCTCCAACTCCTGACCTCAGGCGATCCGTCCGTCTCAGGCTCCAAAAATGCTGGGATTACAGGCATGAATCACTGCACCCAGCCAGGGACTACATTTATTACAGAAATTTTCTTTTGAGTTGTAGATATAAGGCAAAGCACTGAAGATTGTGTAGAGATAAAGCAGCACACTAAAGTGTCTTAAGAAGGTAGAGAGGGAAGACTGTTGATTTTCTAATTTATGAAAATGTGTTAGGAGAAAGTAGTTAAATATTATTAAATAAAATAGTGCATATAAAAGCTTATTGTGGGGTATAAAGTTATTAACAAAAGAATATGCTACTAATAAGTCTGAGTTATTATAGAATATACAGGAAGAAATTTTCTTTCCAGGCCTTATGTTTTTATATTATTAAAAAGTTACATCAATACTGGAAAAAAGCAGGCTCCTGCTGCTCGTCTTCATTGAGAATATAGCTTTGAAAGATCCTTTTATTGTTTACCCATTTCCCACAGCTTAAGAATTTTTGCAATATCTTCCACTCACTCTAGAAACTAGCTTTTCCTTTCTCTTATTTTGTCACAGAGCTAGTTTTTCACAGATAAATTAAAGCCATGTTTACATCTGAACTTGATTATATTCCCCTCCTTACATTATTTATGTATTTTTTTTTAAAAAGCAACTCTAATAAAACTTCTCCCTGTAGTTATACAGATCTCTAGTTATCTTTTTTCTTCTTCATCAAAATTGCTTTTGATTTGATTGCTTATAGTTATACTTTTGGTTTCAATTTTTAGCTTCCCATTCTTCTTGAACACTTTCCCTTTCAACAATCTCTGAAGGTTTCCACTTAATTTTTACTGCACATTTTGTAATCTACTTTTGGTAATCTCTAGTATCTGTTTGCCTTCATGCTGGATTTTCCTTTTTGGACTGTTGAAAGGAATGATAAGCCACAGTTTCATTTAAGGTTCTGATCATTTTCATTTCACCAGATAGTTTTTTTCCTATTCAGTTCAAATTTTCCTAGTGGCATCTTTCTGCAAAATGAATGTGCAAGGAGGCACAGGTCCTTGCGGGACAAGAGCATGCAAAATGGTTAATAAAAAAAGATCTGTCCTCAGACACCCTGACTTAGCAAAATTTATCCTAAACCAACCCTGATCGCTCTCTGACCTCTGACCGCATCCTGCCAGCTTCCCATGTGTTTCAGAGCTAGCTCCAGCTCCTGTCTTGGCTGAGACTTTCCTTTATCATCCATCTCAACACTTCATCTTCTGGCTCCCAGCTCATCTTCCCTACAGACCCAGCCCTCACACCAGCTATCTAGCGTGGAGTTTTCTGGTTAGCCTTAGGAGTGGGTAAATTTCCTAATTTTCCCATCTCTTTTCCAGGGTCCTTGTGTCAGGGACATACCTCCCCTCTCTGCCTCTGCTACCTGTATATTGTGGGAAAAAGAACACTGGACTTACAATCAAATAGGATTTACACTAGTAAATAAAAAAATACACAATTCCTATCTCCTTAGATCTTTAAGGTAGTGGAAGAGACTGCCAAACAAGTAAACAAAGAAATAAATAAAAATTGACAAGTTATGCTCAGGGCTATCCAAGCAGGTTTTATGACTACAGTGATTTTATGATGACTAAATTGGGAGTCCAGCTGCAAAAAGCACTGCCAGAGAAAGTTGGAGGAGGGGAGATGAAAATATAAATTCAGGAAAGAAGGTAGTATTCTTTCAAAAAATAAGCCAAGTGCTAAACTTCATAAAGGACTCAAGTATTTGAGATAGGCTTTTTTTGTTTGTTTGTTTTGTTTTTTTTACGGAATCTCGCTCTGTCACCCAGGCTGGAGTGCAGTGGCATGATCTCGGCTCACTGCAGCCTCCGCCTCCAGGGTTCAAGCAATTCTCATGACTCAGCCTCCCAAGTAGCTGGAATTACAGGTGCGCACCACCACGCCCAGCTAATTTTTGTATTTTTAGTTCAGACGGGGTTTCACCATGTTGACCAGGCTGGTCAGGTCTCGAACTCCTGACCTCAAGTGATCTGCCCGCCTCGGCCTCCGAAAGTGCTGGGATTACAGGTATGAGCCACCATGCCTGGCCCAAGCTGGCTTTTGCAAGAGATTTTTAAATGTAGGATTTGAATGAATGCGACATGTATGGTATGTGTGGCATATATGAGAATGATATATATGGCTCAGACTAAGAAGAAAGAGTGGCCAGACATTAGAGGTTAAAGACCCTCAAGGACCCTCAGGATGGGTCCCAGCAGTGTTATTGTGAGGACAGAAACCAATAGGATTATATCGCGTCTTCTGAAGCTGATACAGTTCAATAAAAGGAAAGGAAATTACTGGCTATCTAGTGGCTTGAGGAAGGCAGAGATCTCTGAGAACTGATGAGGTTTGGTGAATTTTAATCTGGGAAGAATATTCAATAAGCTTATCTTAACAGTTATTGTAAATAATAAGGGTTTCCAATAGACTTTCTGAAGGTTCACTATGAGAATGAATTTTTGGGGGATAATTGGGGTTTTCTGCTTCTCTTCCTAGATACTTTTTAGCTAATTCTTACTAAAGAGAAAAGAAGAGCTATAATTCAAAGCAAGTAATTTTCTTACTCAATA
Organism: Homo sapiens; assembly: GCF_000001405.40. Lineage (NCBI taxonomy): Eukaryota > Metazoa > Chordata > Mammalia > Primates > Hominidae > Homo > Homo sapiens. The sequence goes on along the minus strand of NC_000006.12, from coordinate 12,278,086 downwards.
AATGTTCCAGTAAACGATTTCTTAGAGAAGAAATTAAATTTACAACCAGCATTTTAAGAAGGAGATAATATGATCTTTAATTCATAACCAAGTCCCACTCCTGCATTCTTCATCAATCCAGATTATCGAGTCCAAAAATAAAAACCACAGGCTTGTCCTACAAATGATGCCTTAATCCCAAAGGGGTTCTGGAGCCATGGGAAGAACACAAGGCTTCCAGCAAATCTCAGGGCTTCCAGCAAATCTCAGGTCTACCATTCCCCAGGTTCCATTTCCTTATCCAGAATAAGCAGGCGGTAGTCCCGCCCTGGAGGCCCTTGATGTCTATCACGCCATTGTCTTCCAGGGTCTCCAACCTCTTGTACTGGTCCAACTCAGTCCTCTTTCACAGGCTGACTCCTGACATATTGTAATATACGACTCTTCCTCTGCCGATTCCTGAAACACTGGAATTTCCCAGAGATTCGCCCTTGGCCCTTTCCTCATCCAACAGATACCTCCTGAGTAATTCTATCCATTGTTTTCGTCTGCAAGACCTTTATGAACTGACGACTCCCAAATCTATTTCTTACTAATTGTGTAACCTTGGGCAAGCTACTTATCCTTTCTGTTTCCATTTCCTCATGTGCAAAATGTGAAAAGAGTAGTACTTACATCACGCATTATTGTTAAGTATGAAATGAGCTCAGATATGTGAGGCGACATAGAACAGTACCTGGTGCGTAGTTGGTGCTCAATAAATGTTCACTATTGTTTTATCACTGTCCTCCTAGTTGCCCAAGCCAGAAATTCTCAAGACATCCTTGACGCTTGTGTCTCTTCAACCCTTCCTTCCCAATCTTATCAATTCTATCTCCTAGTAGCATTTCCACTCATTGGATTGCTCAAACAACCTCATGCTTGGTTTCCAGCCTCTAGTGTCATTTTCTCCTTAATCCATTCATCATATTGCAAGACAGTTAACTTAAGTCAGTTAATTTCATAACACACTAGATTTTCCAAAAAAATGCTTCATGGGAAGAGAATTAGACCAACAACCAGCATAATAATCAGGTGATCCTGTGAATGTCTGTTTACAGCAAAGTCCCTGTTCCTCCTTTCTTATCATTCTGAAGAAGCAAATGTCCAAAAAAAGCAAACAAAAATAATCATATGTCTATATTCAAAATGTTAACAGATTTATATTTATCAATGCAAAACTAATTCTATTTCTCCCCCACTTTAAATCCTTGACCCATTAACCACAGCCATCAAAATGAATCTGAACTCTTCAAAATGGCCCTGCCTCCCAGGCATTGGTGTTTGAGCAGGAGCCTTGAACTTGTCCAGCTCTGCCTCTGGGAGCTTGGCATGTTTTTCCCTCTGCCTGTAGTGAAGCTGTCCCTATGCTTCTGGACTGGCGTTTGAAGACTCAAGGTGAATGTCTCCTCCCTGGGGAAGTCTTCCCTAAACCCCTCCAACGTACATATTTATGAAGCCTTGTCTGGCTAAGACAAAATAAGGGTGCCTCTCCTAAGTCCTCCTGCACCATAACTCGGTACAAACGTCTTGCATAACACTTATTACACCCAATTAAAATCACCAGTTGTTCACCTGCCTCACCTTTCAGATTGTAAATTCCTTGGCGTAAAGGAATGTACTTTTTTCATCTTTGTTTTCCCAGCTTTTGCACAGTAACTTACTTTTAGAAGGTACTCAGTAAAACTTATTTTTAAGTACAGATTGAATTCATAGCATACGTGGAGTTCCCAGCACAGTGCTTGCACTAACAGTCACATCGTTCCTTTCTCTTTCTGCTACTGGAAAATGCCATCTGGATGGAAGTCCCCTTCCTAGAAATTTCCCTGAAACTACCAACATCTTTGGGTAAATAATAAAACTCCTTGTGTGTTAGGATTCTTTTTTTTTTTTTTTTTTTTTTTTTTGAGATGGAGTCTTGCTCTGTCACCCAGGCTGGAGTGCAGTGGCGCGACCTCGGCTCACTGCAACCTCTGCCTCCCGGGCTCACGCCATTCTCCTGCCTCAGCCTCCCGAGTAGCTGGGACTACAGGCACCCACCACCACGCCCAGCTGATATTTTGTATTTTTAGTAGAGACAGGGTTTCACCATGTCAGCCAGGATGGTCTCGATCTCCTGACCTTGTGATCCACCCACCTTGGCCTCCCAAAGTGCTGGGATTACAGGCGTGAGCCACCATGCCCGGCACGATTCTTATTTTTTAACTTATGTACAAATACAAATGGGCATGCATGCATCCACACACACACACACACACACACACACGGTGCCCCCAAACACACAAACCAAGTCCTCTCGCTCAAAGAGTGAGTCTGCAATCTAGCCAGCTAATTAAGAAGGGAGACACGGGTGCAAGGCCTCTACCCATAAAATGTCCCCTACAACTTTTAAAAATACCATTTCTTTAACCTGAAATTGTTTGCCCCAGATCTTGTTAAGAAGAAAGTGAGAAACGTTACATTTATAAAATATATATAATATAAACATTACATGAAATCTATTACAAATATTATATAAATATCTAAAAATGGTTATCATCTTCATGGTCAAGTCCAAAGGTTGGGGAAAAATTAAATTTTGGTTACAATAGAGAGAAAATAAACAACTACAGATCTGCTGGGTCAAGTAAAAGGTGTCTATTTTAATGAGGATTTTGTAACAAAAGAAATATGTGTAACCAGGCCAAGCCTCTCCCTTCAAGAATTCAGGCAAAGATTCTATCACATCCCTCTCCTGCCTCCTGAGTGACAAGTAGCTTCAGAGCCAAAAATGACTCATCAAGACAGTACTTTCTGTCTGTCCATGTGACACAAGGAAGCATGTCTATGAGGGAAGAGCCCCAAGCGGCCAACTGAGGGCTCTGAGGCCTGACAGCCCATTTATGAGCCAGAGTCCTGAGGGACCCCCGTGGGTACCATTAGAAGTGCTCTTGGGTTAGAAGTGTTTTGAGGTTGCATAATGTCTTGGTATATCAGTAAACATTGAAATCTGGAAGGAAATCCACTAGTAACCTATCTAGTTCATATCAGGGGTCTTTGGGGGAAAAGAAGGAAGGAAGGAAGGGAGGGAGGGAGGGAGGGAGGGAAGGAAGGAGCAAGGAAGGAAGGAAGGAAGGAAGGAAGGAAGGAGAAGGAAGAAATAATTCAAAAAGCTTTCTAGCAGCCAGTACCCAGTCCTCTCAGCAAAGAACCAGAATTGTTCCTTAAATCCAAGGTAGACAAGAAAACATTCTTGAGAGTGAAGTTAGAAGGCTTGGGCTGAATCCCACATCTGACACTTGCTAGCTATTTGTCCTCGGACAGTTAGCTCTGATCTCAGCTTCCACATTGGACCAATGGGACGTCTGACTAGCTCTGACAAAAATTGAGTGAGACAGATCTGAAAGCACCAGACAGTGTATGTCAAAGTAGGTGTGTAGATGATTCTAATTTATTCTGAAAATATTTATGGAGAGCCTATTACAGACCAGGTAGTGTTCTAGATGCTGGCAATACAGTTAGTTGTAAACAATACAGTCCCTATTCTCATATTCTAATTGGGGGAGAAACATATCTAAAAATTTGAGCTGAGATAAATAAAAGTTTTAAAAATAAATGGCCACTTTTTCCATCAGGGAGGTATGTGCTATTACTGAGGACTTTCCATGATATAGTAAATATGCCTAATATGTTTTGATGGCATCACAGGGCTCTGCACTAATATTCAACCAATTTACTCTTAGAATTGATCTCTGTCTATTGCACTCTCTGCCAGAAAGTGAAATAGCATTTTATTAGCAAGGTCTTAAGTTGCTAATTGCCTTATGCTTTTCTAAATTGTAGTACTTATCTACATCAAAATAAAATCCATTAGAATTAGTTATATCTCCTACTCAAGTTTTAGCTGGCCTAGTAAATTCCATGGTGGGTAGTGTACATATTTAAAAATCACTGGGCAAAGGACAATTTGTTTAGTCACAGTGATAATTCACCAGATACCTGCTCTGCTCTGAAGAGAAGGTTTTTTAAAATAAGAATGAAGACCAAGTGAAGATAACAGATGAAATTTCTTCCAGATGACGTGGAAGCCAAGTACAATATATGGGTAAGAAAATAATCCACCCTCTATTTAGCACCCCCAGGCCCATTAGTGTTATTTCTTAACAGAGACTGCTGTTTTATTGTATGACCTCCTCAAATGTCCCATTAAGGTCAATGGCTCTATTTGTGCTTCTATATTGTACGCTGGAAGACTTTCTACACAGTTCTAATTCTCCAGTATCTCTGAAAGGAAAGGCACTTACTGAAACTCAAAGACAGTGCCAGAGTCTCACTTGAATTGTATGAGTCCACTAAAGCCTTTCCTATGGTCAGATGAATTGGGGTGCTAGCTCACACTTCAGACATCTGTGGATTCCTGAACTACTGTTAGGACTAGGAACTTTGCAGGTAAACCATAACTGAAAAAAAAAAAAAAAAAAAAAAGTCCTGCCTACAATTCTAGTGCATCTCTCATCAGTGTTTAAATATATCCTTTTAAAAGGAAAAAAAAATTGCTGAATTTGGTATTGTCTTAAATTTTCTTTACTGTTATAGCTCTTGAATATATGTAAATCATCCAAATGATTTAGAGTATATATACAAATACATTCATTGCCTTATTAAAATTTTTAAGTTCTGAGAGAGACACTGTGCATCTCTCCCTTTGCCCTTCCTCCCTATCACTGAGAAAAGACCACATTTCAGAAAAATTATCCTATCCTAGCCATAATACCTACCTGCGGTTCCATGAATGAGTCATGCTCTCCCATCTCACAAACTTTCCACGGGCCTGAAATGCATTTCCACACATCTCTTTGCTGGCCTAGCCCCCACTCTCTATCAGGACTTGGATTGGATGTCACCTTTCCTGGGGAGGCCTCCTCTGACCCCCTTTCCCTTAGCACCGGGCAAGAGGTCCCTCCTCTGTGCTCCCAGTGCACACCATGGGTTCCCACCTTAGCACCTGCAAGTCTGTAGAGTCGTCACAATTTACTTAGTGCTCATCACTGGGCTGGGAGATTTTGGAGAAGAGGGACTGTGTCTTTCCTGCCTAGATCCCCATTAGATCAGTGACAGCAGTTCCAGGACATTGATTAACACCTGGAATAGCACCAGTCCCATGTGTTCTTCCCTCCTGCTCTGCTCTAAACACTTTCCCTGTTATCCCAAACTCTTTCTGTCCACACCTGACATTCCATTTTGAGTTTTTGGAGTATCTTCTCCACTTCTTTTCTCTTTCAAGGCTATCTTTGACACACATATTCCTTAAAGAGTATGACTCAGCTGGGCGCAGTGGCCCATGCCTATAATCCTAGCATTTTGGGAGGCCGAGGCGGGTGGATCACCGGAGGTCAGGAGTTCAAGGCCAGCTTGGCCAACATGGTGAAACCCCATCTCAACTAAAAATACAAAAAAAAAAAAAATTAGCTGGGCATAGTGGCGCATGCCTGCAATCCCAGCTACTCCGGAGGCTGAGGTAGGAGAATTGCTTGAATGAAGGAGGTGCAGGTTGCAGTGAACCAAGATCACACCTTTGCACTCCAGCCTGGGCGACAAGAGAGAAACTCTGTCTCAAAAAAAAAAAAAAAAAAAAAAGAGTATGACTCAATAATTATTATGTAAACTTATTTTGCATGTATGTAAGTGTGAGAAGAAGTCGCATAATTAATTTTTCCTCACTCCAGCTCTTCCTATGGTCTCTTTATTTTCCTAACCAAAGCTCAAATTCCAGCTTCTCTGCCTCATCACACCACTCCTCACCCTATATCTGAAACAATGAGTTAAAAAGGTAGCCCTGGTTTCTGTGTTCTCTTCTAATACTAGTGAATTATCTAGAAAAAAAATTTTATCAAGCAGTGACCAGTCTCTGAGTCACTGAAAAAGAAAGAGAGGATTCCCTTAACCTTACATTATGGTAGCCTTACACCATCTCAACTGTATTTTTTATGTAGACTTTTGTTTCTGTTCTCCAACTATGTATTGTCCTGCATTTCTCCAACTTCACCTTCTTCTCTCTTTCTAGCTTAGTCATTTATGACATTCTTAAAAAAAAGTTTTTGGATTTGGGGGCTTTTTGAGAAAAATATCAAGTCACATACACAAGAATTTCTATTAGACTATTAGCAGATTTCTCAAAAGAAACCTTACAAGCCAGAAGAAAATGAGATAATACATTCAAAGTGTCATTACAATGTCATGTATAATATTATGCTCAGGAAAGCTATCTTCAGAAATGAAGGAGAAATACATTTTTTCTCAGACAAGCAAAAGCTGAGGGAATTCATCACCGCTAGACCAGCCTTACAAAAAATGTTTAAGGAAGTATTCCAATTGGAAGCAAAAGGACAATAATTACTATCATAAAACATATGAAAGTCTAATCTCACTGGTAGAGGTAAATTTATTATCACATTCAAAATACTTCATTACCATAATGTTGGTACATAATCTTTCATATCTCTACTGTGAAGTTAAAAAGTCAACATGGTCGATGATAAGTCTAGCTACAATAAGTTGTTAGGGAACACACAATATAAAAAGATGTAAATTAAGCAGCAAAATTAAAAATTTTAGAAGGGATAGTAAAAGTCTAGAATATTTGTATGCAACCAAAGTTTATTATTATCAGCTAAAAATAGTCTATTATAACTATACAATATTTTATGTAAGCCCCAGAATAACTGCAAAGAAAAATATTACTGCAGATACACAAATGAGAAAGAGAAAGAAATCAAAGTTTATTACTACAGAAAATCACCCAAACATAAATGTAGCCATAAGAGAGGAAGAAAGAGACAGAAGATAAACAAAACAACCGGAAAACAATTAATAAAATAGCAGGAGTAAGTCTTTACATATCAATAATAATCTTGAATGTAAATGGATTAAATTTCATAATTAAAGTATATAAAGTGGCTAAATAGAGTTTAAAAAAAAAACAAGTATGTGTTGCCTGTGAGAGACTTACTTAACCTGTAAGAACATACATAAACTGAAAGTGAAAGGATGGAAGCTCATATTCCATGCAAAGAGAAACCAAAAGAGAGCAGGAGTAGTACATATGACAATTGTAAATATATGTGAAACTAGCAGTTGAGCACCCAAATGCGTAAAGCAAATATTATTAGATCTAAAGGGAGGGAGAGACCTCAATACAATGATAGTAGAGGACTTCAACACCCTGCTTTCAGCAATGGACAGATCATCCAGACAGAAAATCAACAAAGAAACATCATATTTAAACTGCACTCTAAACCAAATGTACCTAACAGTCATTACGGAACATTCCACCCAACCGCTACAGAATACACATTCTTCGCAACAGCACATGAAACCTTCTCAGGATAGATCATATGTTAGGCCACAAGCCAAGTGTCAAAAAAAATTTTTAAATCAAAATTATGTCAAGTAACTTTTCAGACCACAGTGGAAGAAAATTAGAAATCAGTAACAGGAGAAATTTTGGAAAACATACAAATATATAGAAATTAAACATGCTCCAGAAAGACCAATGGGTCAATAAAGAAATTAAAAAGGAAATTTAAAAATAATTTAATACAAATGAAAATGGAAATACAATATACCAAAACCTATGGGATACAGCAAAAACAATTCTAAGAGGGAAGTATATAGCAATTAACATCTATATGAACAAAATAGAAAAATCTCAGATAAAAACCTAACATTGTACCTCAAGAAACTAGAAAAACAAGAACAAACCAAAGCCAAAATTGGTAGAAGGGAATAAATAATAAGGATCAGAGCAACAATAAACAAAATAGAGAAAAAAATTAAAAAGATCAACATAACCAATAATTGTTCTTCTGAAAAGATAAACAAAATCAACCAATCTTTAGCCAGACTAACTATGAAATAAAGATAAAAGCCAAATACATAAAGTCAGCAGTGAAAAAAGAGACATTAGAACTGATCCTAGAAATACAAAGGATCATAAGTGACTTTTATGAAAAGCTAAATCTAGAAGAAATGGTTAAGTTTCTAGGTACATATGCTACCAAAATTGAATTATGAAGAAACAGAAAACAGAGCAGAACAATAATAAATAACAAGATTAAATCAATAATAAAACATCTCCCATCAAAGAAAAGCCCCGGACCAAGTGGCTTCACTGCTGTATTATACCAAACATTTTTTTTAAATGAACATCAATTCTTTTCAAATTACTCCAAAAAATTGAAAAGGAGGTAATTCTTCCAAATTAATTTTATAAAGCCAGCATTACCCAGATACTAACACCAGAGAAGAACATAACCAAAAAAAGAAACTACAGGCCAATCTCCCTGATGAACATGGATGCAAAAAAAAGTTAACAAAATACTAGCAAGCTGAATTCAACAGCACATTAAAAAGATCACTTATCATGATTATGTGAGATTTATTTCATGGACTCAAGGATGGTTCAGCATACCTAAATCAATAAACATTATAGAATCAAGGACAAAAACCATATAATCATTTCAATTGATGCAGAAAAAGCATTTGATGAAATTCAACATCTCATCATAATAAAAACTCTCAACAAATAGAAATAACAGACCTCAACACAATAAAGGCCATATATGACAAACCCACAGTTAAATCATGCTAAAGGAGGAAAAGTTTAAAGCTCTTCTCTAAGATCTGGAAAACGACAAAGATGCCCACTTTCGGCACTTTCATTAAAAACAGTAATGGAAGTCCTGGCAAGTACAATTAGGCAAGAGAAAGAAAGGTCATTCAAATTGAAAAAGAGGAAGTCAAACTGTGTCTGTCTGCAAATGATATGAACTTGCATATAGAAAAACCTAAAGACTCTATCCAAAAAACTTTTAGAACTGATAAACTAATTCATTTAAGTTTCAGGATGCAAAATTCAACATGCAAAAATCAGTAGCATTTCTATAAAACTATAAAGAACTCCCTAAAAAAGAAAGAAAGGAAGCAATCTCATTTATGCTAGCTACAAAAATTAAGATACCCAGCAATAAATTTAACCAGGGAAGTGAAAACTCTTTACAATAAAACCTGTAAAATATTGATGATAGGAATTGAAGAGGACACAAATAAATGGAAAGCGGTCTCATGTTCGTGGATTGGAAGAATTAATATTGTTAAAATGTCCATACTACTCAAAGTCATCTATAGATTCAATACAATCCCTATCAAAATACCAATGATATTTTTCACAAAATTATATTTCACAGGAATAGAAAAAGTTGATCCTAAAATTCATATGAAACCAGAAAAGGCTCCAAATAGCCAAAGCAATTTTGAGCAAAAAGAATAAAGCTGGAGGCATCACACTACCTGACTTCAAAATGTACTACAAGTCTATAGTAACCAAAACAGCATGGTACTGGCATAAAAATAGACACATAGACCAATGGAACAGGATAGAGGATACAGAAATAAATCCACACATTTACAGCCAACTAATTTTTGACAAAGGTGCCAAGAACACATATTGAGGAAAGGACAATCTCTTCAACAAATGGTGCCAGGAAAACTGGATATCCACATACAGAAAAGTAAAACTAGACCTCTATCTCTCATCATTACAAATATTAACTCAAAATGGATTAAATACTTAAATGTAAGACCTAAAAAGATAAATCTACTAGAAGAAAACATAGGGAAAACATTTTGTGATATTTGTCTGGGCAAGGATTTTTCAGACCTCAAAAGCATAGGCAACAAAAGAAAAAGTAGTTAAATGGGATTATTCTGCATCTAGAATGGTTAATCCTTTCCAGAAGGCTTTCCATTCACTTTGCCCAGATCCATCAGAGGAATCGCTGTCTATGGAAGCTATGGCATTATAAAATGAGTTTCTTAAATTATAAGGCTTGAAAGTCAAAATTACTCCTTGATCCATGGGCTACAGAATGGATGTTGTGTTAGCAGGTAGGAAAACATTAATCTCTTTGTACATCCTCATCAGAACTCTTGGGTAACCAGGTACATTGTCAATGAGTAGTAGTATTTTGAAAGCCATTTAAAAAAAATAGGTCTAAACGGTGAGCTTAAAATATTCAGTAAATAATGCTGTAAATAGATGTACTGTCATCCAGGCTTTGTTGTTCCATTTATGTGGCACAAGAAGAGCAGCTTTTAGCATAATTCTTAAAGGCCCTAGGATTTTTGGAATGGTAAATAGGCATTGGCTTCAACATAAAGTTACCAGCTGCATTTGTCTCTGACAAGAGTGTCAACCTGTCCTTTGAAGCTTTGAAGCCAGGCATTGACTTCTCTCTAGTATGAAAGTCCTAGATAGCATCTTCTTCCAATAGAAGGCTGTTTTATCTACAGTGAAGATCTGTTGTTTAGTGCAACCACCTTCCCCAATGATCTTAAGTAGATCTCTGGATAATTTGCTGTAGCTTCTACATTAACGCTTGCTGCTTCACCTTGCACTTTTATGTTATGGAGATAGCTTCTTTCCTTAAACCTCATGAACCAACCTCTGCTAGTGTCAAACTTGTCTTCTGCAGCTTCCTCACCTCTCTCAGCCTTCATAGAATCGAATAGTTAGGGCCTTGCTCTGGATTAGATTTTGGCTTAAGGAAATGCTGTGCCTGGTTTGTTCTTCTACCCAGACTACTAAAACTTTCTCCATATCAACAATCTGGCATTTTGCTTTCTTATAATTCATGTGCTAACTTGAGTTTCTTAAATTATAAGGCTTGAAAGTCAAAATTACTCCTTGATCCATGGGCTACAGGGACCTTTAAACCATAGCAATTATAATAGTAACATCAAAGATCACTGATCACAGGTCACCATAACAGAATAATAATAATTATAAAGTTTGAAATGCTGGAAGAATTACCAAAATGTGACACAGAGATAAGAAGTGAGCACTTCTGTTGGAAAAATGGTGCCAATAGACTTGCTCAATGCAAGGTTGCTACAAACCTTCAACTTATAAAAAATACAATATCTGCGAAGGGCAATAAAGGAGAGCACAATAAAATGAGGTATACCTGCATGTACAATTATGCATTAATTCAAAACAACATTTTAACAATATATTGCTGGATTTGGTGTTGTCCTAAATTCTTCTTTACTATAATCACTCCTGAATATATGCAAATCATCCAGGTGATTCATGGTACACACATATTAATTGCATTAACAAAAAAGAATTTTTAAGTTCTGAGAGAGACACTATACATCTCTCCCTTTGCCCTTCTTCCCTACCACTGAGAAAAGACCGCATTTCAGAAAAATTCTACTCCAGCCATAATACCTTCCTGTGGTTTGACGAATGAGTCATGCTCTCCCATCTCACAAACTTTCTGCAGGCCTGAAATGCATTTCCACACATCTCTTTGCTGGCCTAGCCCCCACTCTCAATCAGGACTCTGCTTAGTTGTCACCTTTCCTGGGGAGGTCTCCTCTGACCCCCTTCCCTTAGCACCAGGCAAGAGGTCCCTCCTCTGTGCTCCCAGTGCACACCATGGGTTCCCACCTTAGCACTTGCAAGTCTGTAGAGTCGTCACAATTTACTTAGTGCTCATCACTGGGCTGGGAGATTTTGGAGAAGAGGGACTGTGTCTTTCCTGCCTGGATCCCCATTAGATCAGTAAGAGCAGTTCCAGGGCATTGATTAGCACCTGGAATAGCACCGGTCCCACTGTGTTCTTCCCTCCTGCTCTGCTCTAAACCCTTTCCCTGTTATCTCAAACTCTTTTTGCCCACACCTGACATTCCATTTTGAGTTTCTGGAGTATCTTCTCCACTTCTTTTCTCTTTCAAGGCTATCTTTGACACATATTCCTTAAAAGGTATGACTCAATCATTATTAGCTCCTCTTTCTTCCTTGATGTTTGTTCTAAACTTATTTTGCATGTATCAAAGTGTGAGACAAAATCACGTAATTAATTTTTCCCCACCCAAGCAATTCCTATGGTCTCCTCAGTTACCTAACCAAGGCTCAAATTCCAGCTTCTATGCCTCATCACATCTTCCCCCACACTGGCTTATCTCTGAAACAATGACTTAAGAGGGTGGCCCTGGTTTCTGTGTCCTCTTCTAATACTAGTGACTTCTCTAGGGAGAAACTTTGTCAAGCAGTGACCAGTCTCTGAGTCATTGGGAAATAAGGGAAGGGTTCCCTCAACTTAACCAGGGTAGCCTTGCACCATCGCAACTGTAGACTTTTTCATGTATACTTTTGTTTCTGTTCCCCATTCATGTATGTTCTGCATTTCTCCAAATTTATTTTCTCCTCTCTCCCTAAATAAGTCATTTAGGACTGGTAAAAAATGAGTTACTACCATGGGACTAAACAACACATATAACTAAGACATCATTGTTATTTGAAGGGAAAGTAAAACAAAATGGATCGTGTGTGAGTTTATTAGGGCTGCCGTAACAAATAATTACAGACTGGGTGTCTTCAACAACAGAGTGTACTTTCTTACAATTCTAGAGCATAGAAGCCCAGGATCAAGATGCCAGCAGGGTTATTTTTCTGAAGTCTCCTTCCTTAGCTTGTAGAAGGCCACCAACTCCCTCTATCTTCACAGGGGCAACCCTCTGTGCATGCACATGTCTGGTGTCTTTCTGTCTGTGTCATAAACTCCTCTTATTATGAGGACACTAGTCACTGGGTTAGACCACACCCTGATAACCCCATTTTACCTTAATTACTTCTTTAAACACCCTATCTCAAATGTAGTGGCATTCTGAGGTGCTGGGAGTTAACCCTTCAACAAATGAATTTGAGGAGGAAGAGGACACAGTTCAGCCCATAGCAGGTAGATTCTTATTTTCATTCCCTTAACAAATTCAGAAATTATTACATATCAGGCACATATCGCTTGGCATTGGACAGGTATAGTACAAAGCTGTCTACAACCTGTCAAAGCTAACAACAAGACCTCCACTTGCTGCTGGCATTTCGGAAACTTCTTCAAACCCTGATTTCATCCTTGGAGCCTGCAGCCATACTCCATCCCATATTCATCTCTGACTCTGCAATCCTTTTGCACTTAACATCAGGCTAAATGGTGTAGACCTTTATTCTCTTTTATGTGTTGGACTTGTCTCTTCAAATAAATAGAGAGGGAACAGCAAAGTGGAGGATATGGCTCATAAAAGAAATCCCCAATTAAGAAATCAAGTGACCTGTGATATCAAATTCTAGTAAAAAAGATCCATTATTAATATTATGAATTTGTGGGCAGAGAGGACTGTCTTAGTCATCTTTTGCTTTCTTCATCTCCTCCTACTGCCCAGTTCATCTTCTCTAGTTCTCCCCATCTTCTGGCTCTGAGAATATCTTCATGCCACGCCTTCTGTCTAGAGCAAACTTGTTCAACCCATGGCCCATGGGCAGCATGTGGTCCAGGATGGCTTTGAATGTGGCCCAACACAAATTCATAGACTTTCTTAAAACATTGAGTTTTTTTGCAATTTTTTTTAGCTCCTCAGCTATCGTTAGTGTTAGTGTGTTTTATGTGTGGCCCAAAACAATTCTTCCTCTTCCTATGTGGCTCAAGGAAGCCAAAAGATTGGACACCCCTGGTCTAGAGCACTCTCTCTTCAATTCTTTCCCTTCCAACCCACTTACTAGATTTAAACAAAAAATTCAAATAATATTCTCTTATATATCTGCTCCTATTATTTTTGGAAAAATGATTATTCTGTCCTTCAGAACCATTATCTGAAACCCACTTTTCCATACCTACTTTAGTCACCTATAAACACTGAAAATCAGAGAGGTTAAGAACTTTATTTCATGTCTATACAGTTATTGTAGCTAAAGATTCAAGCCAGAGTTGCTCTCTCTTAGACTCCAAGCTCCTAGTCACAACCCTTGCTACCATCTGTACTGCTTCAGGTGCCTGGATTTCTTCTCTTACTAGAGCCATTGGGATCTTGATGAGCAAAGACCTACCCATAGGAAAAATGAGAATATTCGTACTATTATGAAAGCTTACATGCCTATTAATTTTATATTAGGAATTACTCTTCATTCTTCACTCAGCAAAACTCCTTGAGTATTACAGATAAAAATAGTTGTATTGGTAGAATGAAATTTTTTTCTCAATGGAAATAATTTTAAACATTTCAGTGAGGTTCAAAATAACAATTCATGAACTCAAACAAGTTTTAGGAAAGCTAGACCTTCGTGATCTTTAGAAATCAAGACAACAGAAGTATCACTTAAAATGCAAAGGTTAGTTGACAAAGACAGTTTCCAGGAAACACATTCCTTTCTTTTTTTTAACAAGGAACCAGAAAGGATAAAGAAAATGATACTGAAATTAAGAAGCCACTCAGAAAAAGAAAACACAGGAGAGAAATGTGAGGAGCCTCAATTTTCATGAAAGATGTCCAGAATAATCCATTTAACCCTCTCTTCCACGATCTCATTGTGTTTGTGTAACTCCAGGCCAAGTATCAATAACATCCAAGTTGATTTATGGTGGTGAAAGGTTTTTCCGTGAGAACTCTGATGATGGAAGTCAATAAATGAGTATTAGGAAGATAGAAGTCTCTCTACAAACCCAAACTGGTGGGGCTAGTTTATGTCAAAGGAATGAAAAATGAGGCTGGTCTGTGAATGCCTAGTACCCTGTGTGAAAGCCAAGCTAAAAACCAGATCTTGGGTGAATTTTTATTCTCCATCAAAAATTTGCATTTGTACACCCACTTTTTGTAACAGATTCTTTTTATGCTAACTCCTCAACGAAGTTGCTTCTACTGCTTTTGAAGACTGGACAGTGTTCCCTATATTTACCCAAAATTGTACATTTAGCAGGTGAAATTTGGAAACTCAAGTGCAGCTACCTAGAAATCTGGAATGAGATCACAAGCTGGCTTAAAAGTATTTGAGATTCCCTGAATCTTCTTTGTCTGTCAGAATATTCAATACATTTTCTTTTATCTGTGTGTTCCATTTCTCAAAATTTGGGCCAATAAAATATTTAAAATGCAAATATTTTTAAGATGATAGAGCTGTCTTCACAGTTATGTGTCCTGCTCTAAAGAAAATGTGCACATTGACTCCTTATAATTACCCAGAAATAAGAAAGCACATGTAAACACTCAGCTTCCACAACACCACCCACTTTGAATTGTGCCCTAGGTTAAACATAAACATTTGGAGAACTGGGAGAGTAAAACACTGTCAAGTGGTTAATTGAATTTTTTTTTTTTTTTTTTTTAAACAGGGTTTTGCTTTTATCACCCAGACTGGAGTGCAATGGCGCAATCTCGGCTCACTGCAACCTCCCCCTCCCAGGTTTAAGCGATTCTCTTGCCTCAGCCTCCCAAGTAACTGGGATTACAGGTGCCCACAACCACGCCCGGCTAATTTTTATATTTTTAGTAGAGACAGGGTTTCACTATGTTGGTCAGGCTGGTTTCGACCTCCTAATCTCTGGTGATCCACCCGCCTTGGCCTCCCAAAGTGCTGGGATTACAGGCATGAGCTGCCGTACCCGGCCTTGAAAATTTTTATGTGTCTACTTACAAACCATAAATCATTTTTATTTCCTATTTTAGTTTGTTTACTAATTTACTCTCACTCTTCCTCGAGTCCAAAGTCAGCGCCACTCCCAGCAGATTTGTGCTTCAGCAAGGGAGTGAGATCTACTCTCTGGGAAGCCAGACCTGCATCTGGTCGACCTTGACTCAAAACTCAGCCAAGATTTCACACAGTCCCGGAAGGCTCCCACACAAGCCTCTTGCTCCCTCAAGGCAAACAACCTGGCCCAGGTTTCTTGAGCTAATACTGCATTTTCTGTCTTTTGTTGGTGTACCCCAAAGCCTCTCTCATCTATGCTTTTACAAAAAAGGAACAGATAATTCCAAATCCATCTTCCCTACCACTTCATTCCCTTCAAGGCGTTTATTCAAATTACTTAGCCATCAGGTTTTCCCAAAAATATTTGTGCATGAAGTCAACCTCAAAAATGCTGATAGGCCTATGGCAATTAGGTGTACCTGAGATAGTTGAAACAATAGTTTGTGGAGGTATCTTCCCTAGTTCATTCCGAAGTTTCATTTGAAATGCTGGGGCTGCCAGTTCTGTCCCATTTGTTCTGTTGATGCCTTTGCTCTGTACCCCTCAACTCCCAGAATTTCTCCTCCCTAGTTATCTAAGGGACTAATTCTGGCGACCCCTCTCTCCATGTCTATAAGTCTCCATTCCATTGAGAGCAGCCTGACCTTTCTGTGACACATCCTTCCCCTTTTGACCCTTCCTTTAACTGTAACCATATGTCTTCTGGAAACCCTGCTCTGCTGCCAAGGAGCTCAGAAATTTGCAATCTGTTCTTTAAATACATGCGCCGCCGCCTCATCCCAGGTGAAACCTGGATTTCCCCTGATGACGTAATTCCCCTCATAATTCTCAACGTGCATCTACTCATCTCCCACACAGCCTTTCCTCAGCACCTTAGCATTAGGGGAAGTGTTCTGTATCCCCTGTGTGAATATTCAGCCTTTATTTAATAACACCGCTTCCCTTCCTTGTCAGTTTCACATCCTTACCTATTCCCTACGCCCATTCATCCACAGCTGCCCTCTTTCTCATTGCTTGGGAGCAGCACAACCATCATTACATTAAAAAATCAAGCACCTGTTACCCATCTGGAACATGCATGCTACATAGGGTTGCCCATGTGCACAGGCACACTACAGCAATTAATTCCACCCTTGAGATTTCGGAGCGTACCTGTTTGTATCCTTCAATTTGCAGATTCCTTTGAAAGCAGACTCTGTTGGCTCTGTTGTGGACTTGCTTGAATCACATGGTTCTCTTATTATACTTCAGTTTTAGTCGCTTGAAGATAGCTACTTTTCTCTTCGAGGTGTTTCCCTGAAGCAGATTTCAAAAGTGCTCTACCAATGAATTTTAATGAATCTAGAGTACTCCACAATCTACTAACGACTCACAAATAACTGGGCACTCAAGTTACTTCCACTTTTTCACATAAACATCATTACAGTTATCATCTTTGCACACAAATCTGAATGACATTTCTGATTATTTTCTTAGAAGCAATTTCTAGAAGTGAAAAGTAGGGTCAAAGTCTTTGAATGTTTATAGCTTTTGTCATATAGTGACAACTTGCTTTCTAGGGTGGTTGTAACAATTTATACTCTACCAGCACTGTTTGAGTGTCTCACCACTCCCTCTTTTCATACAGCATTTCAACAAATCTTTGCAGAGCAAGTAGCCAAGATTGGTGCAAAAAGATCTAGGTTTATGGAACAGTGGTCTAAGTCCAGGAGATAATTTGCTAACACACCTGATATAATCAAGAGTTTGAAAAAAACAATATGATAAAGGCAATTAGTGCTATAAAAAAATAAAGGCAATCAGAAACTCCAGAGGGACAGGGGGGCAAAAGACAGTAAAAGGCATATAATCGTAAAACATTAGTGAGTTTCGCAGGGAACAATATTTATGTGGTTATATGACATCAGTGATTTGAAAGTGATATAATTACATGGGTAGAATGGGAAAAAGAGGAAGGTATGCACTGAGAGCTGAAATTTCATTTGTTACTGCAGAAATCAATATCTAAGGTATAAAACTGATAAAACAGGAAAAGCAGTTTATGTTTACCACTCACAGACATGAAGGTAAATATAAGAAGCAACAAAGTTAAGTGCTTGCTTTCAGAGAATTGAACTCAGAGTAGGGAGGAGAAGGCAAGAAGCTTGATTTTCATTATGAGATCCTTTTAACCATGAGCTCCTTACTTTTGATTTTAAAATTTTAACAGTATTCTAAAACATGGAGATTATTTGAAGTCTTCACCAATTTTTAAAAATGGTATGACCTTGAATAAGTATTATTATCATAAATCTATCAGAATGTCATATTTTTGTCACTTGTCTGTGTTCTTTACTTAACAAGAACTCTTACTAATTTTCTTATTGTTTTTTAAGAGTTTTTTATATATTTGTCTACCATGTTTGCTAAGAAATATTTTACCCAGATGTTTGTTTGCTTTCTATTTTGTTTCCGGCATGGAACAAATGTACTAAATAAATCAATTTTTACCTTTTTTTGTAGAGAAATTCTCAAGTCACCAGTATTTATTTCTATAGGGTTAATTATTTTACTTTAAAGTTTTTAGATTTATCTTGGTATCTTATTTGTTTTCTTTATTTAATAAATACCTATATAAAGCATATTTGTGTCAGGCACTACTAGAAGCTCTTATTAAATATTAACTCAACTAATGGTAGATGAAAGAGAGGAGGTTCTTGATTGTTTCTCCCTAAAGAACTAATTATCCTTAAGGTATTTACAACAAATTCCTTCCCTTCTCCATAAGTTTGTAATATATTTCTATCTATTTTGTTTGAGAGCTATCTTTCCTTTTCTTTCAGTAAAATCGTACCATTTTACTTAATGTTACTTTGTAATATAGTGTCTATCTGAAAGATTAATTTTCTTTCCATCACTTTGATTTTTAAAAATTAGCCACTTTTACCCACTTATTTCTCTAGATGATATTTTGATATTTAAGCTCTAAAATAAATTCTGCTGGAAATCTGACCAGGAGTTTGTTAAACCAACAAATTAATTAAGAAGTATTTACATCTTTACAGTGCCAATTTTTTTCACTAGTAAAAGTTCTTTCTTTTTATAATAATCTTTCTAATTATTTAAATCTTATTTTTTATTATTTAATATTATTAATTATTTAAATCTTACTTTAAATCTCTATGCTGCTAACATTTTAGGTTGCTAATGAATGCTCATTAATTCTAAAACTATTCCAGTTGATGCTTATAGGTTTCCTAGCATTATATTTGTGTCATCTGTAAATAGTATTAATTTTATGTCCTCTCCTTAAGGAATTATACTTCATTTCTATTTCATGATTTAATGCATTAGCCAGTATTTTCAGGATACTATTAAGTAAAAGGACAGTGACCATACAATTTAAAGAAATACAGAAAGGCCAAATGTTAAGAATTAATATTTAGCCAACACCATGTATTGTCAACATAAAATAAATGACAGGAATATATAATTAACCCAAAATTTATCATAATTATATTATGAATTATAGTGATCATTATAAATGTCATTAACATTTTTAGTAGTTTAATTTTTTAAATTTGATGTTATGGCTGAGGACAGGAAATTCCATGGCCCTGTTAGTCACTAGATTGCTCCTGTGGGTACCATGCTGCACACAGATGATGTTGAATGAATGCTCAGTTTCATCATGGTGTTAGGGAGCTGTCTTGTCTAGCTCTATCAAGATAGGCACTGCTGATAGAGATAGAGATGTTGTCAGTGGGCTTTCCTTTCTCTCTAGCAGTACCAAAGAAGGGAAAGACACTTTGTTTTAAACTGCTAGCCTTGAAGATTTGGTCAATGGTGATGATGCAGTTCCACTGATACAGCCTCACCAATGTAAGGTTCACACACGTTGAAAGGAGATGCTTTCCGAATACTTTCAGAATCACGCTTTGGATTTTCACCTTCACTTATACTTTGATGTCTAGTATATTTCACATTTAAATAAATCCTTTGATGAAAATATGTCCTCAAACCTTTGATCTAGAAATGTTGCGACTGAATGTAATTGGCTTTTTTTTTTTTTTTTTTTTTTGAGACATGATCTCACTCCGAAACCCAGGCTGGAATGTGGTGGTGCAATCACAGCTCACTGGCAGCCTTGACCTCCCAGGCTCAAGCCATCCTCCCTGCTCAGTCTCCTGAGTAGCTGGGATTATAGGCATGTACCGCCACACCAGCTAATTTTTTTTTTTTTAAAGATGGAGGTCTCACTATGTTGCCCAGTCTGGTCTCGAACTCCTGGCCTCAGATGATCTTCCGGCTTTGGCCTCTCGGTGCTGGGATTACAGGCATGAGCCTCCACACCCAGCCAGCTTTTCAAATAAAAGAATAAGGTCTGATTTTCCCTCTGCACCTCCGCTTGCAATTATACTAATTAGTATACACTGTCTGTATACTAATTGCAGCATTTCTTCCAAAGCAGGGTGATAGGAGTATTTTAATAGTAGTAATCGTGTCAGAATTATTTGCACTCCTCATGTGCAAATATGTCAGAATTATTTTGCACTCCTCAGTTTGATTATTACTTGAGCAGTTTGCAAAGAACAAACTACTTTCTCTGAAAAAATAGTTGGTGGGTAATACGCCCTGCTAGACTGGGACGACTGGGACTATTATCTGCAGCATACAATATTGAGGCTTTATTTTGTTCGAGCAGCCTTTTTACATGTGAGAGGGGCTTCCTTATCTTTTATAAGCATGACAAACCGGTTCCAAAACCTCTTATACTCCGTGTAGTTTGTCTTCAATCAAAGAGTAAGAAATGAAGAGTCCTGTAATCTTTCTTAAGATAGGTAATTCTGTTAAAATACACTGTGTCATAATTATTTTCCAAACACAACTGGAAACTATGATTAAAATAGTGTATATTTACAATTCCTAAATCACTTGAGGCCTTCATCATGTGTACTCATTGTTGATTGTAATTGTCTTTACTGATTTTCCATTCTACAGATATTTCCACAGCCAGACTCATTATTTTGTTAGCTTGTATCCCCAAAATCCCTCATTAAGCATGTAAAAGAGAAATCTAGCAAATTCAGCATAAACTCACCATGAATCCTATTAAATTTAAAGGACTTCTGGTGGGTCCTGCTTGTCCCAACAACTGATACACAAGATGCAGAAAGGGCACATTTAGTTTGTCAATAACTTTTTGTGCCCAGCAGAATGGAATTTAGGAAATTTTTCTAGTAAAATGCATACAAAGAAGAGATTTGTACCTAGGCATCACAGACTGTGAAAATCTGAATACTCCTTCATCTTCAACTGCTTCAATTGTCAGTTTGCATAAATCATTTCAACAGGCTTTTAAATATATCTGGCCTTGGAGACTCAGATATATAGGATTATTTTCTTAGAGTAAGTTTGTTAAGTCTGCTATTTTGAAATTAGATTAGCAACATCAAATGTGTTTTTGGTTCCTCATTTTTCTCTTACTCTTTTTCATACTCTTCATTATATCGATATGTCATTGAGATTGTTGTACATGATTTTAGTTTTACCTCCTCATGAAAATTTGAGGTGATAATGTGCTATTCTGCCTTTAATACGTCTGTACAGAATGTGAAGAATTTCCAAGCAGGACCATTACTCCTGAAATAGTCACAGCTTAAGTAAAGTTCATTAACTGCAAATTAAATATGGTTCTTAATGATTATTTTATTTGACAATGAGTACTAGTATGCAAACAATTCTACAAAGATTACTACTACTATACAATCTAATTCTATCCTTCTATTATATTGTTATTAATGTTTTTTATAAACCTTGGATGGTTCAAAATGGATATTGTTGTGTCACAGACCCAAGAAAACCTCAGCCAGCATCACTTGGTGCATGCGGGAGCTCATAGGGAGAAAGTCTGCAGTTTGGTTTCCATGCTTTTGGCCTCTTGGGAAGACACATGCTTACCTGGGTCACAGACGGATGCACCTTGGGACTGTGCTCCAGCAAAGGGACCCCAGGCCTTGTTGCTCTCTCTTGTTATTAGGTTGATGGCTCACTGTGGAGGGTAGAGGTGGGCAGGTGAGGAAAAACATTTTAAACATTTTGAGTTCAGGTGCCTAATGGTCTTTTTTGGGTTTTAGGGGGCGGGGGGTCTTTTGTTTGTTTTGCGGTTTTGTTTTGTTTGACAAGATCTCACTCTGTTGCCCACGCTGGAGCGCAGTGGTGCAATCATAGCTCACTGTAGCCTCGGCCTCCTGGGCTCAAGCAATCCTCCCGCCTCAGCCTCCCAAGTAGCTGGGACTGTAGACGTGCACCACCATGTCTGGCTATTTATTTTATTTTATTTTTCTGTAGAGATGGGACTCTCGCTTTGTTGCCTAAGCTGGTCTCAAACTCCTGAGCTAAAATGATCCTCCTGCCTTGGGCTCTCAAAATGCTGGGATTACAAGCGTGAGCTACTGCACTGGCCAAGCCGTCTTGTTTCCTGTGCCAGCTTTTTAGAGGAGTTACAGTGGGTTACAGTGGTTCCTAAGCACCTTATCCAGGATGAATAAGAAAAGTTGAAACTAGAAGCAGATCCCTCTTTATTGTGTACCTTGTAACAACCTGGCTTATTTGTGAGACATTCCAACATATCTTTAGAGAGATTTACTGTCCTCTTTAAAGTTATTTAGCAAACACACTCTCTCTCAATATTTGTTTTAGACTAAGTCATAAGAAATAGCTGATATTCAATTGTTTTGACCTATAAAAATGAAGATGTTATAGGGCTTAGACTATTGGTCTGTCAGTTAATATTGGAACTCCCAATCATTAATGATTACATGTGATGGTAACCTAAATAGTCACATGATCCTTGACTAGGAACTATCTCAGGGACGCTAGAAAGCCAGTTGAAGCAGACATTTGTCTCTTCAGACTTCCACAGCCAAAATCAAAGCAAAAACACATTGGCAGACTTTGGTCAAATACAAGCACAAACTGATGTTCAGAGCATTCTTATAAATAGTCATGGTGATATTAGACTTCCTGGTCTTGTTCCTGCTTTTAATGAGAGAGAGTACCTCTACTCTTTAGCCATCAGATATCACTGACAATTTGAATAAATGCCATTTGTGTTTAAGTTTTCTAAGAATTGTTATTCCAAATGGCATTGAAATGACTTTATGAGCTTTATAATTTTTTTCTTTTTAGATCCATTGATGTAGTATGCTAACCTATTTCTCTCTGATTGAGCTATTCTTGAATTCCAGGAATAACCCTACTTGGATGTGGTGGATAATTTATGAAGGTGCTATTGTTTTGAAATTGTAATTCTTTTAAGGATTTCTGCAGTTGTATTCAAAAATAAGATTACTATTCAATTCAAGAGTTTTGTGTTTGTTATTTATTTGGCTTTTTGAAACAGAATCATTTCATCTTCATAAAATGAATTTGATAATTTCTTTCATCTTGTTTTATCCCACGGAACAATTTATCTGAAAGAAATTACCTGCTTCTTGAAAATGTGAAAGCTGTAAAGTTGCCCAGGTTAGTATCCATTTTTTGAAGTAATTATTGAGTACTTTTTCAAATTCTTTCTGAGTTACTGGAGATTTCAGATTTCTTAATTATTAAGACAATTTTGATCATTTATGTTTAGATAGGAAATTTGCCATTTTAAAAATTATTCTAAATCATAAGCATAATTTGTAATATCCTTGATATCTGTTGTCCTTTCTCATAAATTTCTCATAAATTTTTCAATTGAGTGCATACAACTTCTCTTGATTATATATAAAATGCTACAGATTTATGCACTTTATTATGTGCATGTTTTCTTTCAAAGAAATACAATTTTTCTACTTTCTGATTTATTTTCTTTTAATCTTGGTCAAATCCTTCTGATGATTTCTTTTGGCTTATTTTTCTCTTTTCCAAATTCTTAGGTTGCATTCTTACTTCTTTTTAAATAATATTTCTCATTTAATATTAAAACCCCTTCTGGATAGATCTTTGTCCTGGGGATATGGTCCACAGCTTTATGGGGTTTACAATCTGGTGTGGACTCCAGACATATCAACAGGCTGTTATAATCAAGTGGAAAGGTACTATGATAGGGGAAGTTCAAGGTTCTATTGGAACACTCAGAATAGGAACTCGACCAGATTTGGCAGAGTGGAGAGTGAGGAAAGGTTTACAAGGAGAAGTGGTGTCTAAACTCAATAGGAATTGGCCAGGCAAAGGGAGACGGAAGAAGAGCGGGTACCAGGCAGAGGGAAACACCCTCAAGGTGAGAAAGCGGCTGACCCAGTATTTGGGAATTGCAAATGCTCACGTGGCTGGATATAAAAAGCAACAAATGAGATACCAGCCTGGAGAGATAATCAACAGTTAAACTACAGAGGGTGACATTAAGGAGTTCTGGACAATGGGATGCCAAAGGTGTTTTACACAGAATAATGTTATAATCAGATGGGTAGACTGAAAGATAGTTTGGAGCTCCCCATGGATAGTAGATTTGATGAAAACAAGCAGGAGGCAAGGGAACCAGTTAGAGGGTTGAGGTAGAAGGCCAGGTAAGAGATGATGGTGTTCTAAATGAGCAAAATGTCAGAAAGCACAAAGGGAAGGAGATGGATTGAGATGTATTTAGGAGGTAGAAAAACAAAACGTCACGGGCGGTAGATTGGGTGTGCGCAGGGACAGAGGAGTAAAGAATGATGCCCAGGTTTTTGGCCTGGCTTTGGGGGCAGTAGGACAATACCCTCACTTAGAGAGGCAAGAGCAGAAACTGAGTCAGATGAAGAATAAGAAGATGGACTTTGAATGTGTTGACTTTTATTATTAGTAGTAGTAGTATGAGTTATTCTTTTTGTCCTATTTAATGCTGTTCCCTTTGACTTCTATTTTGTCTAAGCAATAATTTTTCTACCCTACATTTTGTGTGTGCACATGTGTGTGTAAATTCCTGGAAATTAAAGTCTTTTCTTCCTCTTCTACATAAGCTAAAATATTTATCCCTTTTTCACTCACTTTTTCTATCCTTTTATATCCATATGCTAGTTTTTGCTATTAAGACTTGAGGTATTATGTGATTTCATACTATGCATTTTTTGTATCTTGTTTATTTTCTGATTCTCCTGTAGAATATAGGCTTTATAAAGGCAGACTTTGCATTCTGCTTAATTTTTGTCTGTTTAATTTACTGTTGTAATCTCATTGACTAGAATGCTGTCTAGCATATAGGAGGGGGTCTGATAAATATTACTGAAAAAGTGATTATTTTTTCATTATGTATCTTCTCTCTCCCTTTTTTGACAGTTGCATGCATCTTTCAAATTGCTAATTTCATTGCTCATTGGGAGTCTGTTTCTAACTCAATTTAAGCTCTTCATTTTATGAAAATCTTGGCAGGCTATAGAATGTGTTCAAGCATTTTTTCCTTTGAGTGTGTGGGGTTATATTTTATGGTCCTCGCCACAAAGAATAAACATAGATTATAGTTTGGTCACAAACTTTTCCCCTATAATTCTGTTAGTTGCTTCATTGTCTTTGGCATGTAGAGTTTTAAAGAACTCCTCTGAGGTTAGTTGGATTTCAGTTTCTTCATAGGTGATTTCCTCTACCTCTCCTCTTCCTCTTCTTCTTTTTCTTCTTTTTCAATACAGGTTGGATATTTTTATCTTTATCTTCTAACTTTATAATTACTTGTTCCTCAAGGACAAATTTATTCATCTTTGTATACCTAGTATCTTGCAGAGCACGTGGCTTATAGTGAGTAGGGAGTGAACACTGCATGAATACACACATGAAAAAAAAGACATAAATGAAGTTCATGCAAACTTAACTATTCTTTCTCTACTTTTCTGTCAATCCCAAATTTAACTGGCATTGGTGTGGCTTAAGAGAAGTCAGGCCCCCACCTTGCGTTCCTGCAGAATTATCAAGTCCTGAAAGTTCTGGAGAGCCAACGTGAACATGCAGGATGCTTCACCACTATTGGCATCCAACCCAAATTGAACCCTTCTTTCAATATCTTTATTATCTAGCAAGCTGCAGAACCCTACTTCATAATGCTCAATTCTTTTTATATTGGACAGTTAACATGGCAAGGGACAGAAATGGAACCTAAATTTTTATTTCGTTTGTGTTTTGTATGAAACAAAAGCACTGTCAAAGACACAAATCATGTATGAAATTAAAACCTCAGTTTTGTTCTTTTCTTTATCCTCTTTCCTTGACTACCTCAAAGCTGGTTTCTGCAAGTAGCAACAGAGTCCTATTAGAACTTCAGCAGCAATGATTTATGTTTATGTAATATACCAAGAACTCTTACATTAGACCCAGATTTTAGTAAATGAAATGGAGAACAAAGCAAATTGAATCCAAGTCCAGCAATATCTAAAAGGTATATCGATTTGGCCTAATATAAATGCAGAAACCTAAAAGGATGCTGTTAATTACATCCTTACACATACACATTTATACAAAAGTGCTATCAAGCAAAAGGAACTTGCTGCCCAATGTTCTAGAATCCAATAATATAACACCAAGTTTTTGAGAAAGAAAAGCTATTTATTGCAAGTTGACTTACAAGGAGATATGAGTCAAGCTCAGATCCATCTCTCTGTGCTGGTTTTAAGGCAATACTTTTACTAGAAAAGGTTTAAGAGGGTGGATTCTGAGATTAGCAGGTAATTGGTGGGAGGAAAGGAGAGGTCTGAAAGACCCTCAGGCACGCACAGTCATCCCTTTGTGCTTCCTTATAGGTCCCATGTGCAAATTTGGGGAGGAGTTAATATAAAACGTGCAGTGGAAATCCAGGCTGTGACATCAGCAAGCTTGTTCTGTGCAAACTCCAGCTGGCCGTATCGGTTCGAAAAGATTTCAGCCAGTTTTGTTGTCTTACAAGTGGAGGGAGTTTTAGTGTTTCAGGAAGCTGTTTCTTGTTTTTAATCTGACATCCTGCAAACCCAAGAATTTATATGAGTTATTGGTTTCTTTAACTTTTGGGGCACGTTTCACAAGTAAATATAAAATGCACTTCTATCAGGGTCACCTAAGAGTGTGCTCATTTTAGACACTTGTAATGTCTTCTTGGAAATTTAGGAGACAGAAATAGCAAGTATTCCTTCTTGAATGACACCTCAAGTTTGATGAGATATCATTCACATTGATTCACGTTAAATAGTGTGCCAACTGGCTTTACTTGCTTTATTGATTTTTAGCAAGATCTATGTCACTTATTGCTTTCATTGTGTAAGTCTTTCCAATATTCCAGCTAAAGAGTTGTCTACCATTAATCTCTTCATTCTGTTAAACAGTAAAATAACTTATTAGTTAATTAGCTTTTTGGGGTATGGCTTAAGTTATCTTTGGTCTTTTGCTTTATTTGGATTTTAATATCCTTTCAGTTATGAATGAGTGTTGTGATATATCCTTTATCAGTATCCCTAGGTACAGCAGCTAAGGTGGTATCTCCTCTAATAGTCCTTTATTTTATACTTGCCATAATTTTAGAGGCAATTTCCTTAGCAAACCTTTCAGTCTCAGGAAGCATGGCATCATCTGTGTTGCATCAGTTAAGCAGAAATGACTTGTTGGATTTGATTATGCATTTGAATAGTATTAGAGGCAATTAATGTGTGGATAACCTCCAGTTGTTATATACAAAGATGCCAAGAGGCACTCAAAATTTGGGCTTAGGGAGTCCTTGACTTACCCAACAAAGAGAGTAATTGATTTTGTTATTTAACTCCCATCTCCTAAAGGGATATCTTTTGAAAGAAACCTTTAAAAGGAATGCTATTTTTTTTCTTAAAAGTGTATTTTTATGGTGCGATAAAAATTGTAGACAAGGAGAGTTAATGTGCTCCTAATTGCCAAATTTTAAATTTCAAATCTTTTTTCCTTTATAAACAAGTTACAAAGTTTGCTCAGATATAGGCATGAACAGGCATTTCCCCAGATTATGCAACATGGAATTTTTTCAAAACTCAATCTTACACAGAATTTCTCCCACAAAGCATAACAAACTCTTAGCAATCCTGAAAATTTCTACTCATTGATAGTGATAAGAAGACAAGAAATTTTGAATAATATTGGCAAATAATTGAAATAAATGGATTCTGAAGATACCTTCTTCAAGGCAATTATCCTGCAAAACCTTTAGCTATTCTTACCAGTGGCAACAGTGAAAGATAAAGAATTTATTGACAGAGTATCAATTCCATGGTCAAGTCTAACTAAAACAGAAAAAACAAAGGACAAATCATCAAAATACAAAAAAGTGCATCTTTTTAATCTAACTTAGGCCATTAACCACAAATATGACATCATATATTTTCCAGCAGTCAGTGAACACTTTTTTGTAACTCTGTAAATTTGATTTATCTTGTATGCTTCTGAGGGATCAGGTTACATAAGAGTGCATGGGTCAGGAATATTTTTCTTAAAGTCAAAAATGCTCTTGAATCTTAATTTTACTTTATTATAACCCCTTACATAATCCACATACATATGCGTGTGTGTATATGTACATTTCCACATATGCCAAAAGTGTTCAAAAAGTTGTTTCAAATAGAAGTTTTAACTTCCCCTTGATGCCAGGGAATTTGCTTGTTTCACTCACAGGTGAGCGTGGTTCTGGCAGTCTCTGGTGTCTGGAGAGAAAAAGGTAGGATCTAAACAACTTCCAACCAACCCTGAGGGGGTCAGAGAGGTATAATCAGCAGTAGGACTGTCGTAAATCACAATGAAGTAAATGATAACACACCCATAGGCTTACCATGCCTTGCAAATAAGGACTCTGGCTTTGCCAGCTCTTACCAAACTCGTTAATGCCTTTCCTTCACTCCAGGATGTACACAGCCATAAAATGATGAAATGAACCTTCCTTATCATATCCTATAGCACTTGTTTGCCCCAGGTGAGCAGCTATTTACAATGGAGCTGTGTTGCTGGGCTCAGATCACCCTTGCTTTCTCTCTGGCTCTGACACCATAAACTTTGTCTTGTCTCAATGCATAGCATCCTAGATCCCCTAAGTAGGGATGTATCATTTTATATTACTGGAAGACATTTGCCTTACATCTCTGAAGATCTACTTTTCAGAAATCAACCAATCAATATTTATTAAGCACATATTCATGTCAAGTACTTCCTGCTTAAGTCATTTTACAATCCATATAATGTAGTTCTTCAAAGCATGAGATTTTGAACAATTTTTAGAGAGGAATCCCATAGTATTGCAAAACAAAGCAACAGTTGAATCTCACGTATTTTATTCATGGAGAAAAACTAAATGTCTCATCTTTCCATCTGACACACAGTATTCTAGATCCTTGCTACTCCAAGTACAGTTCATGGACCAGCAGCATTGATATGAGCTGAAACTTGTTAGAAATACAAAATCTGAGGCTCACCCGAAAACTCACTGGCTCTTAACAAGCTCTTCAGATGATTCATAGAAACACTAAAGTTTAAAAATGAATGTGATAGATTAACTTTGACTCATTTGTGTCTAACTTCTTCAACATTTGTGCTAAATAATTAGAAGATCATGGCTCCAAACTTGCAAAAATTAGAGGTTGAGGATCAAACCCAAAATTGCCAAACTCAGCCTTCACACTTGTTCTATCATCACATTGAATATACAGTTTTTTTCACTGTCCCAAATAATCATTTCCCTTTGCACGTATGCTATAATATCACTTAATATACCCAACTAGCAACAGTGGTGGTGTAAGAAAAATCAATGTATCCAAACTAACTTTAGAAACCTTGTTTTGTTAAAACCTGATGCAGAATGTCACCAGCCTTAATCACATGGTTTGCAAAAAGTCCACAAGCTAATTGACATAACCTACACCCTTTCACTCTCCTGAAGCTTAGTGTAATGTATCAAAATTATCTCAGGCAAGCCAGGTAAAAGAGTTGCTCATTGCAATCTTTGACTTGTCATTCAGTGGAGTGTGGCTATTCTTGTCTCCTCTCTTCCATCATGCTTAGTTCACAAGGATATTTAGACATATACATTCAGTCTGCTCATAGACTTCAATGTTCTTTGCATATAGGAGAATGTCAGAATCATGAATTTCAGGATAGCTACCCAGAAATGAGACAGAGGAGGTGAGGGTTGTATTAGTCAGCTTGGCCTGCCATAATAAATACCATAGGCTGGGTAGCTTAAGGCACAGACATTTATTTTCACACAGTTCTGGAAGCTAGAAGCTAGAAGTTTCAGACCAAGGTGGCCGATTCAGTTCCTGGTAAGAGCTCTCTCTTCATGGCTTGCAGACAGCCTCCTTCTTGCTCCATGTCAAGGCTGTGTATTAGAATTAATTGTTCTGCCACTATGCTTTTCCTATCTCTTTTCCTCCTTTTGTATAATCTTTTGCCTTTTCTTTCCCTCGATCTTGTTGTTTCTAGCTTTACTGTTCTCAGTTTAGACTTGTGAGGAATATCCATTGATATTTCCTTTGTGGAGCAGAAGACAAGAGTGGAGGGAGAAAGAGAGATCTAGTATCTCCTTTTCTTCTTATAAGGACACCAGCCTCATTGGATTAAGACCCTAACCTTATGACTTTATTTATCCTTTAACATCTCCTCACAGACTCTGTCTCCAAATACAGAGGCTAGGGTCCCAACACATGAATTTTAGGGGGATCTGTCTCAGTCTATAAGAAGGATGTAAATAGAAATCATCCATTAGAGCTGCGTGTGGTTGCTGACACCTGTAATCCCAGCACTTTGGGAGGCAAAAGCAGGTGGATCACCTGAGGTCAGGAGATTGAGACCAGCGTGGCCAACATGGTGAAATCCCATCTCTACTAAAAATACAAAAATTAGCCCGGCGTGGTGGCGCATGTCTGTAATCCCAGCTACTTAGGAGATTGAGGCATGAGAATCGCTTGAACCCAGGAGACAGAGTTTGCAGTGAGCTGAGATCACGCCACTGCACTCCAGCCTGGGTGAAGGAGTGAGACTGTCTCCAAAAAAAAAAAAAAAAAAAAAGAAAGAAAGAAAAAAAAAAAGAAATCATCCTTTAGAATACTTCTAAATTCTAAATGTCTTTCCTTTGCCAAATACTGGTATCTTCCATTGTCTCTTGTTTGATCTGGTCTAGAACTCCCTTGAAATTTCCGAGACCAGCAGGATTCTCAATGCCATCATCTGTATCATTCCATGTTATACAGAAACATGTTACTCATTTATAAGACCAGGGCTTCAAGGTACCCACATTCACCCTCCAGCACCAACATTTACACACCAAGGTTCACTTAGCGCAAACTTCTAGTTAGTGGGTCAGATCCACACAGGAATTGGAATCACAGAAACCAAGTAGATGCTGTGGCCTGGAAAGAGATCCCCAGCCACCTGTGGCATGGCAGGAGCCAGCCTGTTTACACAGCCGACATGACAAGACACAACCCAAGGCCTAGAGCACTGCAGGCTAGTAGCATCATCTATGAAAAATGTCATAAAAACATGTGTGTAGTGATTTCATAGTTTACAAAATATTTCCAAATATAGTCATCAATTCAACAAATGTTTATTGGGCACCTTCTATGCACTAGCTGGTGTTCTAGGTACTGTAATGAAAGTAAGTACATATGTTCAATAGTGCTACATAATAACAATTGATTCTTACAAGGGTCTCAAAAAGCAATCAATATACAGATTATTATCTCCAGTTTGAGATGGAAAACTGAGGTGGAGATAGGTTAGTGATGTGACTGGACTAACGGATGAGAGTGTTACTGGGACTTAGGCCTTCTGGCCTATGATCCAGGGTTCTTTCCTCTCCAAGAGTTTACATCACTTTTCATCCCAAAGGCTCACAAGTCTAAACTGAGAACAATAAAGCTAGAAACAACAAGATCGAGGGAGAAAAAAAAAGGCAAACGATTATACAAAAGGAGGAAAAGAGAAAGGAAGAGCAGATAGTGGCAGAACAATTAATTCTAATACACAGCCTTGACATTTACACTAACCCCAAGCAGCAGGGTTACAGATACTGCTTGTGTGTGCACGCCCAGGATCTTGCCAGTGGCTCTCAGGAGAGGGACTTTTGAACTGATTGATATTCTTGGCACAGAAAGACAATGTCATTGCAACTCCTAGGCAAATTGCTGTCTGGGAAAATGGTTTTTCACCCAGGCAAGTTTTCTCAAATGTTAAGAAGTGATTGCCTCTGAGCTATGTTAAGAAGTGATTGCATCTGAGCTGCATGTGGTCTTGTTATCTCTTGGGCCCTAAGAGGCGGGCTGTGGAAGGAAGCCTCTCAGATGCTGCCCCTTGCCCACCAGGTGGCTTGAGTCAGGCAAACCACTCAGAAACACTTCCCTGCACCTTCCATTTAAATCGTGTGCTACAATCTAAAGGGCAGAGGAGGACATGATGGAAATTATTAAAGGAAGAGGCTGAGAGCATTTTCAAGAGCCATATGAGTAGGAAGAGGGAGGAAAGCAGCTGTTCTTCTCTACACACCATAGAGGTATATGCAATTTCTTTAAGGATCTTCTCTGCCTTTGTGGGGTAAAATATGGGTCATGTAAATACAACATTGTTATGGCAATTACTCACTGACGACACACAGAGGAGATTCTGTTACCTATAAACAGCTAGTAAATATGGGCATGACATTTTAAACAGTTTTCTGCTTTAACAAGACAAGAGGATGATACTTCCCATCTCTTTAGCTGATTGTCCCTCCCCACCCACAGCCTCTTTCCCTTCAACACTTTCTGCCTAAATCTCCAAATAATCACCCCACTCACTCACACCAGGCCAGTGGCTGGCAGGCTCCTTGGCCAAGTTTACTATCTGGTTCCAAAGGGGAAGGAAAAATGCATTTGTTCTTTCAGAATGAGAGCTCCCAGAACATCAGGGGTGGAGGGCTTGGTCATCTGAGGGTGTTTCTATAATCTGGAATCCTAAATTTAGCAAGGGACATAGCCCAGGCTAAGAGAATGTCTTCCTTCCTATGAACTTCCACCCATCAGCAGAAGTGGAAGCTGGAAAAGCTCACAGAGGTCACTCTTTCCCCCCAGGTTTTCAGTTACTTGGAACACTCCACTTTAGGGATTTCCAAAGTCACTGGGCTCATTGGAATATTCTCTTTTTATTGACATGAAACGTGTTTGCTGAGTCTGGCTGGCCAAGTGATTCCACAGGGTGAAAAAGAAAAGGCATTGAAATATTCATCAGGAGAGCTACCCAGTTCCACCGCCAGTTTCCTAGGCAATGGTGGGTGAATCTAGTCATTTTTTTCTCAGTTTCCTCATCTCTAAAACAGAGATGATATCAAGTCCTATGTACCCATATCACAGAGACATGTTAAAATAAAATAATACGTGATAAATGTTTAGGAAAAAAGCTGCTGAAAATGCATTCAAAGTGGAGTTTGTAGCCACTTATTATAATTATTGCCACTTCTTACATTCTGAAATATTTTCAGGGTAGAATTTTTTAAAAGACATTTTGTGACTTCTTTACACTAATAATTATGGGTGATATTGATAAGACAGTTCTCGTACATTGATCTTAAACTCAGTTATCACAATCTTTTGTAACATTTTGCTCTTGGCTTATTTGTTCCTGATAGGGTAGAAGTTGCAGGAAAAGTTGATTAATTAAAAGCCATATTGTTGTAAATTTCATCTGTGTGGGGTCAATGAGTCTTGTAATTTAATGTTAGAATACCCTAGAGCAGCGGCTCTCAAAGTGTGGTCTGTGGACCCCTGGGCTTCTCTAAGATCCTTTTGCAGGAGCATAAGATCAAAACTATTTTTTAAATAATATTAAGACGTTATTTGCCTTCTTTACCATGTTGACATTTGTAGTAATTGTGAGCATGAAGCACTTACAGTATACTCTAATACTTACACACTTGCTATGAGTTGTAGGCTGAAATAGCCTATTTTTGCATGGAAGCATTTTTTCCCTAAAAGACAACTGACTGCAAACTATTGTTATTCAGCCTTGGCTATTTGACAAACTTTTTCTTGAGACTAAATAGAGAGCCTGTCACTTCAAGGAAAATAACAAACATTATTCGTTGCTGAAAATAACATTTGAACCTTCAAGCAAAACTTTGAATTTTGGTAAACTTGTACCTGCTTGTGTAAACCAGACAGCTTCCCAATGCCTCAAAGACTTTTCTAATGAGATCAGTGATAGTAACAAATGTGATTTTTCAAAATATTGTATAGCCAACATTTGAAAGGTCAAATATTCACTCAATGAATTAATATTTTCCAAATGATTGATGCATTACCTGGCAAAATCATGCATGGGCAAAAGATCCATAGGAAAATATAATTAATTTTATTAAAATTAGTTAATTTATTTAATTTGTATTGAGTTTATTATTGCTTTAAACAAATAAATATTTTAAATGTTTTTAAAATATTTCTTTGATATAGTAAATATATTCTTTGATATAGTAAATGTAACCCACACAAATGAAAGCTTCCTGGGATCCTCAATACTTTTTAGAGGATAAATGAATTCTGAGAACAAAATCTATCAGAATGGCTGTGCTACAAGTCTTAACTTATAGTCTGCAGTGAGATAACATCTCTAATATAAAAAAAGAGAAAGTTTCCATCACGAGTAACTAAATACTTTCTCAATTGACAAATAAAAAAAGAATATTTGTATAAATTAGGTTATATCCAACATAAGCTTTTCTAAAGTAATTTTATTTATTTTCAAATCAGAATGTTATATGTTAGTGAATTAAATTCGAATCACTATGGTACAGTTTACTCATCCACATGACAAATACATTAATTTCTTGCTAACTATAGGCTTTTGGGGATATAACTATAGATGAAATGTAATCTGCCTTCAAGTAGCTCATAGTTTATAAAACCATCAGAAAAGGAAATTCTTCTCACATTCATTTTATGTATGTATGTATTAATTCAGCATTCATGTATTTGTTTTGTCCCCTCTGAGCCAGGCACCAGTATAGACATTGGGTTGAAAGACACAGGACTTGTTAACCATGCTTGGAACTCACAGTCCTGAGTACAGATAGGAATACAGTTGACCCTTGAATAACATGGGTTGAACTGTGCAGATCCACTTGCACAAGGATTTTCATTAATAATAGTTACCCCCAGTGTGCCTGCCTCTCCTGCCTCCCTCCCACCTCCTCCACCTCTTCCACCTCTGCCGCCCCTGAGACATCAAGACCAGCCCCTCCTCCTCCTCCTCTCCTCCTCCTCCTCCTCCTCTCCTCCTCCTCCTCCTCTTTACTCAATGTGAGGACATCACGGATGAAGCCCTTTAAGATGATCCACTTCCACTTACTGAATAGCAAATATATTTTCTCTTCTTTATGATTTTTTAAATAACATTTTCTTTTCTTAACTTACTTTATCATAAGAATACAGTATATAATACATATAACATACAAAATGGGTGTTAATTGGCTGTTTATGTTATCACTAAGGTTTCTGGTCAACAGCGGGTTATTACTAGTTAAGTTTTTGGGGAATCAAAAGTTATCTGTGGATTTTTGACTGCAAGGAGAGTTGGTGCCCCCATCCCTGGAG
Organism: Homo sapiens; assembly: GCF_000001405.40. NCBI lineage: Eukaryota > Metazoa > Chordata > Mammalia > Primates > Hominidae > Homo > Homo sapiens. Next base: position 12,242,983 of record NC_000006.12, on the reverse strand, counting down.
CTGCCTAAGAGTCAACTGTAATTATACAAATGAATACTCTAGCATAATTCTAAGTGCTCAGGAGGGTAGGTACAAAACTCCTTGAGTGATATCACAGAGACCTGAACCCAGCCTGGAGAACAGAAACAGCCTTCATGAGAATCATAATGGTTAATAGAGAGCATTCCAACTGGAAGAAATATTATATACAGGCCATGAGGAGGGCTGGAGAAACAGAAAGGTCAGTGTAGTCAAAGCATGTTCAGCCAAGGAGGAGCCAGAGGGACCTGGCAAGGTGAGCAGCGATCCAAAGCCACCTACCCAGGGAGCAGCAAGGCTGAGATCCAAACAAGGATCTACCTCATCCCAGTGTGTAACTAGCACCTCACTATCTCCCCTCAAAAAATAAATTACGCCACATACCATGGGATATACTTTATAAACACATTTGCATGTGCCACTCACAGCAACCTTATAAGGTAGGTCCATATAGAGACCTATTTTATAGAGGAAATGACTGAGGCACAGAGAGGTAAAATAACTTTCCCAGGGCTACACAGTCACAAAGTAGCAGAGGCAGAATTGGAGCTCAAGCAGTTGGCTTGAGAGGTCACACTCTTCAGAGGTCACTACTCACTCCACCACCTTCTAGTCCACACAATTACTGGGTGGTAGACCTGGTCCTTGCAATCAGGCGAGTCAAATCTCTCTACCACTTTTCAGCATGACCATTCTCATTCCCTGCGTTAGAAATTAGCCTAGAGAGAACTGGTTGTAAAATCACACTGACTGTTGGGCGACACCCTCAAATCCCTAGAGACTGCACACCTCCAGAAAGCCTTTGGTATCGATGGTCAAGGAATTCCCAGGCTGCTTCCTGGGTCTCACCTGAAGTGAAACAGCTTTGCAGCAAAGAGGAATATGCTGTTGAGGAAATTCTTTCAAAGCTGAATCTCTTCCTTCCTCATTCCAGATAAATTGCATTAATGCATAGCCTATTACCTAACGGGGTTATGGTTTAACTTCCTTCCCCCAAGCCTTTTATGGGAATGCAGTAAAGATGGGTGCAGCCTGCACAGCATGGGCTTGACTCTTTCAAAAGAAATTCCCACCATCACACCCTTGTTCTCCTTGGTTTATTGAGTTTAAATTTGTAGGAGGCAAGTATGTTGATGCAATTTGCAAAAGTTACTGAAGATAAACCACCTACTAGAGAATGCAAGAGACTGGAAACAATGATTGAGTCTCCAAAAAAAGTGTTACTCATAGGATCATCTTCTATGAACATGAGTAAGAGAAGAAAACCATAAGCTGGTTTCAATTCTAAATACATTTAATTTCCAAAAGCAAAGGTGAGCAATTATGTATTCCACTTACCATAGAGCAATGGGCCACCTCATCAGACAAAAACACAGACCCGTACTTTTTTTGCAAATAACTTTTATGAAGCTAGTGCTGGGCCTATAAAAACCCAGTTGTACTAATACCTCCCTCTTTTCCTCTCCTTGAGCCATCTCTCCCACCAAGATCTCCAAAGATGCCTGCTTATAAAAGTGTGTCCTTCCCAGCACTTTGGGAGGCTGAGGCGGGCAGATCACCTGAGGTCAGGAGTTCAAGACCAGCCTGGCCAACATGGAGAAACCAAAACCCGGTCTCTACTAAAAATACAAAAATTAGCCGGGTGTGGGGTGCACACCTGTAATAACAGCTACTCAGGAGGCTGAGGCAGGAGAATCGCTTGAACCCAGGAGGCAGAGGTTGCGGTGAGCCAAGATCACACCACTGTACTCCAGCCTGAGTGACAGAGTGAGACTCCATCTCAATAAAAAAAAAAAAAAGAAAGAAAGAAAGAAAAGAAAAAAAAGTGCATCCTAAGGTTCCCACAGTGTAAATGTCTTCCAAGAGCAGTAAGGATTGGGTTCAGCTGAGAGTGACTGAAAATTCAAAATCTAAGTGGCTTTAAGGGAATAAAAATTTGCACACTCATCTGAATGTAAATGATCCAGGGCTGGCATAATGGCTCCACCATGCTTAGAAGGTCCAGTGCTTTCTACCTTGATGTTCCATCTCCCTCAGCACACAGCAGGATCAACACCAGCCATCACATCTGTGTTCCAGGCAGCAGGATGCAAAAAAGAGACAAGATAAAGCCACATGATCTCCCATTAAAGACAATTCCTGGGAGTTGTACACCACTGCTCTTTATAGTCCTTGGTTCTTTCAGGTTCACAGAACCTAAGGGATAATAGATATTGAAAGACAGCTATGTCTCCCCTTTGGCCACCCATGTATCTCAGTGTACCCTTATTTCCATGTTTGAAATGTACTCAACCCCTGTACTCCCAGATAAAGAATCCCAGAGTTCCACCAAATTCATGCATCTGGTTCTAAGTCCAGGATTTTCAGGTACTATTCCATGCTCTTTATCAGGTCTGAGTGTAACTACTCATTTTCAGGGGCCCTACAAAATAGAAATGTAAGTTACCTAATACAACACACCTACAAGTCCAATAAGAACAGGACAAACTTTATATAAACAAACATTTCTCCCACTCAGAAAAATTAAAAACTGAGAATCACATAATAGTTCCTTATCTCTAAATATTATCAGATCCCACTGGGCAGAAAGAGAAAACAAAATCATGAGAGTCAGCTGGACTCTCACCTGCTCACTGGGCAAAACTTCTTCATTCACTGCCGCCTGTGGGTTTTCTCTCCCTTTAGGAAATGTTTCCCAGCTCATAATACTCCCAAGTGCGCGCCTTTCTTAAAGCCTTCACAGCTTTCACAGCCTTCCTGCTGGCTGTCTGGGAAAGGTGGTCACCTTAGGTATTGAATGGTCAAAGGCTTTTGCAGTCTAGACTGCTGGTCTCTTTGTCAATACAAAATTTCATGGCATCTGGCCTACCTGAATTCTACCAATTCTGCCTATAAGCAATCAGAATGATGATGTCTGAACATGGATTTTATCCATAATACCTTTGCTTTTATTTTACTTTATAACCTCTGTTCCACCAAATCCTCTCTCTCACTCAACCTACACTCCTTTTATCATGCTATTCTATTTTCTTTCTTTTTCCTTTTCTGTTTTTGTTTTTTGTTTTCTGTTTTTGAGACACCCAGGCTGAAGTGCCATGTTGCAATCTCAGATCACTACAACCTCTGCCTTCTGGGCTCAAGTGATTCTCCTGCCTTAGCCTCCTGAATAGCTGGGACCACAGGCACACACCACCATGCCCAGCTAATTTTTGTATTTTTTGTAGAGACCAGGTCTCCCTATGTTGCCCAAGCTGATCTCAAACTCCTGGGCTCAAGCAATTCTCCTGCCTCAGCCTCCCAAAGTGCTGGGATTAGAGGTGCGAGTCACTGCACCAGGCCTGTTCCCTCTATTTTCAACAGAGGATTTTTACTTTATGGTCCAAAATGGTTCTTCTAGCTTAAGCCATCATATTTAAGTTATTGCAGGTAGGGATGAGAAAAGAGGCAGGAGAAGGGCCTACCCCTACCCCTAAAAGATAGATCCTGGAGCCTTACACATTTCTTTTGTTTATATCCATTGACCAAAGTGTAGTCACTTGGCCGTATCTGCTGGAAGGCGGTCAAGAAAATGTAATTTCTTTTAGGTGGCCATGACCTAGCTAGCATTTTGAGGCTTTATTATAGAGTCAGAAAAAGGAACAAGAACATCCAAGTATAATTAGCAATCCTATTATGTTAACATGTGTATTTTTAAATGGGTTTATGGAGACAGACAATTACTATGGAGAGTGTAATATACATCACAGCCAGAAAGGAACACGAATGATTGAGGCAACATTCTCCAAGCAATGCTGCTTATCTCATTTGCCCTGTGACAACTCTGGGCCCAGAATTGTCACAGAACCCAGAACTGAGGTTCTTCAGTCAACTTGTAATGAGGCCCACTGTGTGCCAGGAACTGGGTATTCACAGGACTTGCTGAAAGTCTGCCTAATTTATACTGAAGAAGTTGCTATAAGTTGGAATTTTATTCCAATAACTAAAAGATCCATTGAGAAGAGCTAAACTCACCCAACTGATATAACACATGCAGTTTTTCAAACAATTGGCGTCAGTGCTGTATATATTTATACACCAATCCAGAAATAATCTACCGTATGGTTCTCATGTAATTTCTAATTCATCTTCACTGGGAAATTGGGATGCCTTTGGTCAAGAGGAGCTAAAGGAAATGCTTGGTTGCACAGCCTGCCTGGGTCCTATTCTTTCACTTTCCTCTTTGATTTTGATTTTGTGGCTACAATGGTGGTTTTCTTGCATCAGCTTACAAATTGACTGCAAGGGAAGAATTCTCCATCTCTCTTCCTACGATAACTAGATGTCCATGCTTCAACCACAGCTGCATCAGCCGTGGTTCTAAGCGAGGACAGCTGGCAGTCTAAGGGTTGGATTGGTTAACCTTGGAAAGTGCTTCCCCTCCGCCTCCATACATTTCACAGCTGGTTCTCTGACAAATGCGCTCTGACCAACCTCCTCATTGCATAGAGGTCACTGAGTCTGTGGCTCTTCCTGTCCTATGGTGCCTAATATCCCCCTCTTCTGCAGCCACTTGAGTGGGAGTAGAGTGGGCAGGGGAGACCTTCACTTTCCCCATGACGCAGGACTTGAGAAATGACTCCACTGGGACAGGGACTGGCCTTATCATGGCACAAATGTGCTATCACACCCCAGAGGAACGCCTACATCCCCTCAAGCCCAAACTCCCACGAAAACCAAATCACAAAGAAATAGAAGCACGGACTTAAATTGGTTTTCTGCTGCATTTTGGGTTTCCCTTTTTTTTTTTTTTTTTTTGAGATAGAGTCTTGCCCTGTCACCCAGGCTGGAGTGCAGTGGCGCCATCTCAACTCACTGCAACTTCTGCCTCCCGGGTTCAAGTGATTCTCTTGCCTCAGCCTCCCGAGTAGCTGGGATGACAGATGCCTGCCACAGGCCTGACAAATATTTTTTGTGTTTTTAGTAGAGACAGGGTTTCACCATATTGGCCAGGTTGGTCTTGAACTCCTGACCTCAAGTGATCCTCCCACCTCGGCCTCCCAAAGTGGTGGGATTACAGGCGTGAGCCACCGCGCCCGCTGGGTTTTCCTTTTTTAAGGCCTGAGATTGATTTCCATGTATTAACCTTTGAGTACATGAGAAATGCCCATTCTCAGACGATGCAGTTTGGGAGTGTTAAGTCACTTTCTATAGTAGAGACAATTCTCTGCACCAAGAATAGAAGTATATGAAACATTCTTCAACTGGAGCTCGGATCCCATAGGACAACAGTGTCTGTATAGCATCATTATAAAGCACAGGCAGCCCCGGAGTAGCAGGTCATCATATGGTCCTAGGATGAAAACCTCAGTCGTTCAGCAGATTATGAGGAAAGACACTAGGAGTTCCACTCTCTCATTCCAGAGCAAAGTCAGAATCTCTTGCTTACTGATGTCCCTCACAAATTCTAAAACACAGCAATATGTTTTCTCATGCAAGCATTTATCAAAATTTACCACATTTATAAAAAAATTGTAAGTTTACAATTTTGTAAGACTTTTTGGTCTTCTCTTCCAGCCTAGGTATCACTTTCTCAGGACTATCTCCGACCTGAAAACCTCTTTATATTCTTTGAGGTTAAAAGGTTTTATTTTGAGATAAGCGTGGATAATGTTACTCAATCTTTGTTCCAGTTAAGAAATACTGGCCTAATTACATTATTCACAATAGCAAAGACTTGGAACCAACCCCAATGTCCATCAATGATAGTCTGGATTAAGAAAATATGGCACATATACACCATGGAATACTATGCAGCCATAAAAAGGATGAGTTCATGTCCTTTGTAGGGACATGGATGAAGCTGGAAACCATCATTCTGAGCAAACTATAGCAAGGACAGAAAACCAAACACCACCGCATGTTCTCACTTATAGGAGGGAATTGAACAATGAGAACACTTGGACACAGGGTGGGGAACATCACACACCGGTACCTGATGTGGGGTGGGGGGAGGGGGAAGGGATAGCATTAGGAGAAATACCTAATGTAAATGATGAGTTAATGGGTGCAGCACACCAACATGGCACATGTATACATATGTAACAAACCTGCACGTTGTGCACATGTACCCTAGAACCTAAAGAATAATAATAATTAAAAAAAAGAAATATACTTGATAGAAGTTAAGAAGTAAAAGTTTCCTAACAAAAAAAAAAAAAGAAATATTGGCCTAATTAATTAGAAACATACTTGGACTGTCACTTGAGCTTACTCAGGATAAGAGATTTATAATAAAGCACTTAGAATTTTACCAGTTTTTTTCCTAATTTCATCTTCCATATCAAATATTTTAGGAAAAATGAATTTATATATAAAGCTCCCTTTTTAAAGTGAAAATCTACTTTTATTATTAATTGTTTGGCATCAGGGCCAGGCACGGTGGCTCACGCCTGTAATCCCTGCACTTTGGGAAGCCAAGGTAGGTGGATCACCTGAGGTCAGGAGTTTGAGACCAGCCCAGCCAACGTGGCAAAACCCCATCTCTACTAAAAATACAAAAAAAATAGCCTAGTGTGGTGGCACACGCCTGTAGTCCCAGCTACTGGGAAGGCTGAGGCAGGAGAATCACTGGAACCTGAGAGATGGAGGTTGCACTCCAGCCTGGGTGACAGAACGAGATGCCTTCTAAAAAAAAAAAAATTGTTTGGCATCAAAATTACTCATTCACTGGAAGCCATTAGAAAATGTACATTCAAATTTATTCTATTATTGAATGGAAAAACCTACAAAGTGAGATAATACTTTTCTTTTTATTCGCAACCAAGGAATCAGTTTTATTCCCATGGAATCAAATAGGGATTCCTTTTCAACTATTCAGTTGAAATAAGTCAAGAAACAATTCAGTTATCTCAAACAGAATACAGTTTAAAAAGACTGACATACCATTATTGTTATGAAATCTTGTATACAAGAAAAACATGGAGAAACAATCTTTTGAAAGTCTGCTTGTAAAGCCAGTATTCAGGATAGCCCTGTTATGATGTACGCTTTGTGTCTCAGAGAAATCAGAATGTCTGCAACAAAGGCCTATGTGATGGCAATATTGCAGAGCTGCACTGTCCAATATGGTAGACACCAGTCACTTGTGGCTATTTAAATTTAAATTAATGAAAATTAAATAAAAGTAAACACTTGGTCCAGTCTTACTGGCCACATTTCAAATGCTCAATAGTCACCTATGGCCACTGCAGAGCACAAGTAACATTTTCTACATTGCGGAAAGTTCTGTTGGACAGCTCTGTTTTAGAGTCTACTGTAGTACAGATTATCTGTTAAAAGAATGGCTCAACCAATAGCGATCTCAAGTAAGAAATTCGGAGTGAGAGCACAGGAAGGAACTAGAATGGGAGAGGCTTTGAAATGAACAGGCACTGTCTTGGCATTACATACTAGCCATTCAAGGGGAGACCGTTCATGGCAGTGCTTCCTCTTTTCATGGTACTTTTTGTATTTCTTTTTGGTGTATGGAGAGTCAGGGAGTTATGAACTATATGGATTTATCTACTTTGGAAAAACAGAGAAGCATATATTCCCGATAATCATTGTCCTTAGACATGTTAGTAAACATTGCTATGTGGAAGTCACCATGTTACCAAAATTAGCAGCAGATTCAGTGGAGAATAGGAAGGAAGCCTGAGCAGGACAGACTTTCTAAGGAAACGGAGAAAGCTGAGGTTCCTGCCTCACATTTTCCATACAATTGCGCTGTACTTTAGAACCATCTACCTCTTAGTGAAGTCCAACCCCTATTCTACGAATGAGAAAATGGAGACCCAGAGACAAAGAAGTGACTTACCCAAGAACACTTATGGTATCACTGGAACAAGACCAGGGGCGAGATCTCCCTTCTAACATGACTTGGCCCACATTACTACTACTCACTTGCCAAGCAGATACTCCAATCCTCCCCTTCAAACAATGAATATGATAAAATCATCCTTTTAAAGAATAACTGAATTTCAGTTCAGGAAGCACTGTAATTGTCCAAGTGAATGTTTGTCAAATATCTCTTTCTGGTTTTGTTTCTTCATGAATGATCTAGAGTCTGGTCACTTGCTGTCTGGCCCATCCTCAAAAGCCAAACTTTCTCCTAAACTCTGGCTATCTCAGTAGGTCCATGGACACCAATGAAGTCCCCATCTCTGAATGCAAACCTTCCTGATCAATGTAACCTTGGAGAACAGGTTAATTCTAGCACCTTGAGTGAGTTCCAGGTAGGATTCTGGCAGTTCTGGTTGGGTTTGCAGCCAAGAGCCAAAATGCCCCAAAAGAGCCTGAAGTGGACCCTGGTCTTGGTCTTGGCCTTAGAGGTCAGCAGAGCAGTGTTTAACAGCAGAGACTTTTGCTTCAGAAAGACTTGACTTCCAAGTCAATCCAAGCCCAGCCATTTGTCTGTGACTGGACCACTAAGTGACCTCCGCCTCCGTTTCCTCACTTAAAAGTTGAAGTAATAAGAAACACTTCCCTGTGGTTTTGAAAGGATTAAGTTGGCTACTTACTATACATATCTAGCATAATGTGTTAGTGTCAGGAACATGGGATTCACCCCATGAAAGGGGATGTCATTGTTAACTGGTCTGAGAACCCAGAGAAGCAGCAGAAAGACACCTTGGGGGTTCTTGCTTCCAGGCAGCCACCTGGGAGTCAGTTTTCAGATCCTGGCTCTCTACTACCAGCTGAGGGAGCATTTCCAGTTTCAGCTCTCAAATTGTGCCAGTTTAATAAATGCATCAGACCACAAGGTGGTGCTTGATTCTAAAGTTTGATATCAGGAGGCTTTTCTAACCACAAAAGTAGTGAATAGCAAAGTGCATTCAACATTGTTAACAAGAGCCAACTTCCTAACCCTGATACAGATGTATAGGTGGGCTCCTGGCCTCTCTGACTGAAGACCAAGGAGTGTGAGCCACACAAGGAGCATTTGGCATGTGAGGGGGATGGGGAGAGCCTCAGCAAAGCTGAAGCCTTTATTTGGTTTCTTTTCCTACAGCATTATGTAAACTCCTGTCAAACCTACACTTGTGCTGTGTGGTTGTCCTCCAATTTCTGTATTACTCAGGCTCCCATGAGCAGCAGTTCAAGGAGTACAGGGAGGAGGAGCGGAAGAAGGGTGTTCTTGGGACATCAACCCCAAGGTATTTCAAAGCCCACTTCCTCTCGTAGTGCAATGACTGATGCCTCCAGCTATGAGTACAGGTCATGAGGCTCTGTATGTAAAGCAGATGTCACCCCTTTTTATTTTCAACATGCCAGCGTGATGCCACTGGGTCTTGGTGAGTTGGCATCACACACATCATCAGCAGCAATCTTGCCCATGCGGTCGGCTCTGTATAATAACATCTGTATTATAATAATAATAATCATAGTGCCTTAGGTAGGTAGAGCAGCTTGAATTGTCCAAAGGACTTTGCAACCAATTTGCAGTTATTATTGACAGAGCTTTGGTCCTGGTGCAGTCGCTACCTGGACATGACCTTGGGCAATTTCGTGAATTCTGTTTACCTGTAAAATGGTGGAGGAAGAAGGCGGGTAGACTAGATAATTTCTACAGTCCTCTTTAATGCTAGAATTCTGTGAATCAGTCTTGTTTTTCCCTCAGAAGAAGTTCTCCATCCATGAACATTTAGGCTTTAGGGGATGCTAAGAGGGATTTAGGGGGAACCCCTGATGAAAACAAGCAAAATGGAAAAGATCAGGAAAAGGTAGGAGGACAGAGCTAGGAAGGGCTAGGCTTGGAGACAGAATAAAAGAGCTGAAAAGGACTCAGGACCTATAACTTTGGATGAAGGCAACTGAAAGGCTTTTGTGGGAAATACCCCTGTAAAGGAAAACAAAGAGAAAAAAGAGAAAACTTAAATCTGCTGGGTTTTCTTTGGATCCAGCCAAAGGATTAGCTCTAAGATTGTTTTCTAGCTGATCCTCTGATAACAGCTTTCTAAAGGCTTGTGTAGACATCCCTTCACCAAATTTTTTGACCTTTTAATCCTTCTGAAAGTGACCTGTCCCTCTTTCTACTAATGAGAACAGAAAAATAAAAGAAAGTTTGCCAGTCGTCTTTTCAAGAACATTTTGTTGATTTTCTCATTGATGTGAAGGCTGTACCCAACAACCTTTCATTATAAGGTAACCAAAAGGTATATGCATGAATCACAACAGCTACCGTTCATAAACTATACCACTAATTCATAGTTTGCAACATTTTCCTTTAGTCTATTAATACTTTGAGTGAAAGAATCATTTAGGATCAACTTTATTTTAATAGATGCAATTTCATCTTAACTAAGACATTTATGCATTTTTTTCCTTCTAATAACGAAACCACTAACACTGCGGTAAGGCAGAGGAAATGAAAGATGAGTTTGACAGCATCAGGCTGCTTGGCTCAGAGAAAATACAAGATTGCTACATTCCACAAGTTACTGAATTTGGGGGAGCGCTGCATTTGTCCTCTTGAAATGATCTGACTCAGCTTCTCTGAATTTTATGAGTACCCTGGTCATGTCATCTGGGAATCATATGACCCTTATTTATTTGATACTGGACATTTTATTGCTTGGTGAAAAAAAAACCCAATAACTAAAAATATGAACAGACTTCCCATATGGTGATCTAATCAGATATATGTATTGGTAGAGACTATGATCGTGTTACCATATAAAGTGTATATTATAATTATATGTTTTATATTTTATTATATAAAATTATAACATATACTTTATTATATTATATTATAAATATAATATAATATACACTTTATTATATTATATTATAAATATAAACACTTTATTATATTATATTATAATTTTATATAATAAAATATAAAATATATAATTATAATATACACATTATATGCTTCATATTAAGAGATTATATAAAAATGTGAAGAACTGGTATCTCTTAGGAAAATGTCAACATTTTACCCTTTCTTTTATTTAATCTGAATGCTAAAAAAGTCTTTATGGTTTTAAGTCTATTGTTTTTTGGTTTTTTAAAAACTTGTTTTACTAGGTAATAACCAGGAAATTATGACAATAAAGTTTACCTCCCTTAGAAAATCACCGTTAGGTGACTTTATCCACAGTCATCACTGAACACATTAAATTTATACAAGAGATGGAAGCTTATTATAAAGAAAAATTACCATTTATGTGTAACTTGAGTGATATCTGAGTAAAAACTAAAAAAAAAATCAGACAAGAATATTATTTCATGAAAATGTCAGGGTTATAGTGTCTTTCAGTTTCACCAATTCCTCTCTGTTTAATAAAATAAATTTATAGCTTTAACCTACAACTCTGCAGACAACCATGTGTTTGCTTTTGAAATAGTTGTCTAAAAAGCTACTGAAATATTTCCATTTTGCTTCTGTTCAGAGCACGACCCTGGAAGAATCTAGAAGTCAAATTACTATTTAGTTTTAGTAGAAGAAAAAAATAATGTTTAATAGTCAAAGCTGGGCAGCAAATGCATATGGGAAAAACAATAAAACGTGTCTTGAATGGATTTCACTCCATATGAGTTTCCTTTTCCATTGCTTTTCAAATTTGTTTCATTCCTTTAAGTTGATGCTTTTATCTTTTCCTGTTAAGCATGGATTTGACTTTTGATTCGTTGAATTGCAGTGTTGGTGGAACACTGGTTTTTACAATTAAAAATGCCAAGCAAAAAATGTGGCTCCCAGGAGCCCTTCCTGGTCAGTGGTGTTCAATCACCCACTCCTGGCAGAAAGTAAGTGCTGCGGAGAAGCAGGAGTGCCAGGGTTAGATGGCTGAAAGTTCACAGCCAGTTCTGGGCTGTTAATCTCACGGCTTATTGTTTGGTTATAAATCTATTTTTTATTAAAATATAATTACACTTACATAGTAACAAGGCTTGTATATTATGGCAAGTCATTTTTCACAGGGAGAGAACTGCAGACAGATTGCTGGAGATGCAAGGAATTATATTTCTCCACCTTAGGCCAATGAACTACTGTTTTGGTTCTGTGCCTTGGGCAAATCATTTTCAAAAAAGTCTCCTGAGTCTCCAAAAATCTTTCACCCTTTCTTTCTTCCATCTGCAACAGACCCCGTTACTTAATAGAGAAGAACAAATACAGTCAATTCTCATTATTCAGAAGTTCCGTATTTGCCAATTCACCTGCTTGCTTAAGTTTATTTGTAACCTCAAAATCAATATTCATGGGGCTTTCAGAGAGATTCATGGACATGCAGAGTGGTGAAAAATTCGAGTTACCAACCCACACGTTCCTACCTGAGGTCAAACAAGGTGACACTAGGCCTTCTCGTTTCAGCCCTTATCCTGTAAACAGGTGTCCTTTTTGCCATCAATTTTGTACCACGTTCTTCACATTTTTATGCTTTTTGTTGGTGGTTTCACTGTTCAAAATGGCCCCTGAGCACAGCGCTGCCTGGTGTCCCTAAATGCCAGAAGGCTGTGATGTGCCTTACAGAGAAAATACATGCGTTAGATAAGCTTCATTCAGGCATGAGTTATATGGCCGCTGGATGTGAGTTCAATGTTAATGAATCAATAATATATGTTACATAAGGTGTTTTTCAACAGAAATACACATAAAACAAGGTTATGTATTGGCCAGTTGACCAGAGGTTTGCAGGAACCTAACCCTATTTTTCTCCTAGGAGCAATGTAGTTCAGTATTCACTCATTCAGTGTTCGTAGTGATCCTGTAGAACATAACTGCAATGAGAATAATAATAATAGGAATCTCATGAATAATAAAAATCAATTGTAATTACCATTGGTAGCTCTTGTTTCCCAAAATGCATATACCTACATTTTTTCTAACGAAGGAAATTATTTGAAAGAAGATAATTCAAAGAAGAGAAATGAATACTTTTATAAAGAGAGAAAATGTAAGATGAAAAGTAAGAGGACCTGGGGTTTATTGAGTTTGGAGAAGAGACATCTGTGAGTCTTTCTGATCTCCATTTTAATCAAGGCTCAAACAAAGCACAGACGATCCTCCCCTAAAGCAGGTCTGATTGTGTTTGAAAGCAGGGGGCATTTTATTGGTCAGGGTGACAAAATTTTGGAACATGGAGTTTCTACCCCAACCAGCTTCAAAAAAAAGAGAGATAACTGACATTAATTTACAAAATTGCTTACCTGAACTTAAGAGTTCTAAAACAGACAGTCAGACTGGCTTTTCACAGCTCTGGGACCCTGTAAATGGCATCCACCTGTCAGAGGCTCTGCTAAGTTAAGAGACAAGGTCTGCAATTACAGAATGGTTTTCCCCAGGAAAGAATTAACTAGTTTGAATAGGCCCATATAGGGATTACAGCTAAGCCATTGGCCATGTCCTGACAAATATTTTCCAGACTGTGTTTCCTGAAAAGTAAGGTGGGTCGGGTTTTATTTCACTAGGGTATATGTGCATGGGTGAGTGGAAAGGAAGATAAAGGGGATGTGTGGGTGTGAGTGTGTGTGTGTGAGTGTGTGTAAATGTAATGATACATCTTTTCTATATTCATGTTTCAGGTTTTTTTTAAGAACATATTATTCATCATTTTGTTCTTATCTCTGTAGTACAAGGATATGGGATTTGAAATCACACCAAGTGCATTTGAAGCTCACTTGCGTGGTCTTGGATAAGTTACTTAAACCTCCCTACCTTCAGTTTCCTTATCTGGAAAACAGAATACCACGTTGACCTTGCAGGATTGTTTAACAGATTCTCCCTCTAGTTCAAGCTGCTCTCACGGTGTTCTGTCTCTTACTTGTCCCCCAGTATGCGTTCTTTCACTAGTAAAGCGTAAATTCCACCAGGGCAGGTACCGTGTCTCTTTTCCTCACCATGTGTACCCCCAGAACCGCATGTACTGGTGTGCCTCTTGCATAAGCAGGAGCACAATAAATGTCTGTTGAACGAACTTCTGTAAGAGAGTCACTGTTAGGTTAAAGTTCTTCAAAAGTGCATCGCTGCCCATAGAGCAAAGTTCAAACTCCTTAGAGTGCCATAAAAGCTGTTTTTGAGTCAGCTCCTGCTTACCAAGATCTAACTCAGCTCTCGGCACCCTCCTCCCTCCTCCCAAGGCTTCTGGGCATGCCTGTGCAGGTGGCATCCTACAGGAGGGCTCCCCGACAAAGGCTCATATAGAGGCTGACCTCAGCCTCCTGGTGCACAGCGGAGAGACTCAATCATCCCAGAGGAAGTCTCTTTTTTCTCATTGGTTGGCCTAGAGAGGGGACGCCCTTCTGCAATTTATTCACCTCGAGATGAGAAGTTTCTACTTTGCACAACAGCCCATGCACAGAGCAGCATCTGTAAGCTTCAGCCATGCAGTTTCGTTTCCAGTACCCTCAGGCTGCTCCAAGAGCTCTTGCCTCTGGGCTTTTGAAGCGTTGCTCTTTCTTTACCTGGCTAAATACCATTTCTCCTTCAGGTTTCGGCTTAAATATCACTTCTTCCCCAAAGCCTCTCTGACCCCCAGGATGGTTACTGGCCACTCAGCACGCCATGCTTGCCTCTTTTCTAGCATTCATTCATTTACCCACTCACTTATATAATGATTATTTATTAAGCGCCAGCCAGAGTAAGGTGCCAGTGTATGGCAGTCCACAAGATGGACACAAGTCCTGTCTCTTGGAGCTAACAAAACATCAGCGAAGACAGGCATTAAATAAATCACTACACTTGGCCAGGTGTGGTGGCTCACGCCTGTAATTCCAGCACTTTGGGAGGCTGAGGTGGGCAGATCACTTGAGGTCAGGAGTTTGAGACCAGCCTGGCCAACATGGTGAAACCCTGTCTCGACTAAAAATACAAAAATATTAGCCTGACATGGTGGTGCATGCCTGTTATCCCAGCTACTCAGTAGGCTGAGGCAGGAGAACACTCGAACCTGGGAGGCGGAGGTCACAGTGAACTGAGATCACACCACTGCACTCCAGCTTGGGCGACAGAGCAAGACTCCACCTCAAAAAAAAAAAATTACTGCACCAAGAAATGTTTTATCTTAATTCTGAAGAGGCTCTAGGATGCAGTGGAAGTGTGTATCAAACTGGAGTAAGAGAATCACCCTTTGAGACTGTTTTGGAATTTTCTAAGTTCTTGTCTGTCTGCCTTCTGGGCTGTAGCATGCCTGAGCTCTAAATCTCATTTTTCTGAGTTATAGCCCCAGAGTTTAGCATAAGACACTCAATATGCACTCCATAAATTATAAATATTGCCGATATAAATATTACCATCTTGGAAATAGTCTCTACAAAGCTGTGTACTTTCTCACCTGTGACGAAACAGATTTTGAAGTACTTCTGTCCACAATTTTTATATGTCTCTGAATAGAGACAGTTAGTGGGGTGCACGTGTGGGAGAAGTCTTATAAAACTTGGGGCATTTTCTTTTTTAATATCTAGCCCCCCTTTCTTCCTCCTCCTTAGGAGGTATGAATCCTTCCCTGCCCCTCATCCCCCAGGCCTGAAGAACCTTTCCCCTTCCAACCCTCTCATAACTGGCTGCCACCATTTATGCCTTGCCTGAAGCTCATTCATACCAACTTGTTGATTCCCCCTGGTAGCTGCATTTTTAGACTTCTTTTCAATATCTAGCATGAAAGTTTGTATGTTCTGTAAAAGGAATGTCATGTGACTATGAAAAGTTAGGGGCACTTGAGATACGGGGCTCAGCATTGACATGTGAACTTCATTGCCTCACAAGTATTTGTGTTGTCATTGTGTGACAATACTGAGATATGTTACATATATTCTTTTGCATGACCCAAATACTGCCAATAATAAAATGTTTTTCTAGTTTTAATTCTTATTTAATATTCTCTTATTTTTAATTGACAAATAAGAATTGTATATATTACAGGCCAGGCGTGGTGGCTCACGCCTGTAATCCCAGCACTCTGCGAGGCTGAGGCGGGAGGATCATGGGGTCAGGAGTTAGAGACCAAGCCTGGCCAACATGGCGAAACCCTGTCTCTACTAAAATACAAAAAAAAATAGCTGGGCATGGTGGTAGGCATCTGTAATCCCAGCTACTAGGGAGGCTGAGGCAGGAGAATCGCTTGAACCCAGGAGGCAGAGGTTGCAGTGAGCCAAGATCGTGCCACTGCATTCCAGCCTCTGCAACAGGGTGAGACTCCACCTCAAAAAAAAAAAAAAAAAAAAAAGAATTGTATAAATTACAAGGTACAATAAGATGTTTTGATATATGTATACATTGTAGAAAAATTAAAGCTAATTAACATGCTAATTAACCTCACCTACTTACAAATTTTTTAGGGTGAGAATATTCAAAATTTACTCTTTCAGGTAAACAGGAGAAATAAGTGTTAGGGATCTATTGCATAGCATGGTGACCATAATTAATAATGATGTATTGTATACTGCAAAATTTCTAAGAGTAAGTTTTTAAACATTCTCACCACATAATAAAACTTTTAAATAAAAAATTACTGTTACTGAAGGCAAACTTGGTTAAACCAAGTTAAGATGAAACTGGTTTTTAAGAGGTTGAGGAGTCCTGAGTTGAAGGTACTACAAAATAGCTGCATGAGTTTCTCACCCTCTCCGTTACCACTCCCTTCCCCTTTGCTCACACATACCCAGGGATCCAGGGATCTAGGGCTCCTGGGCTATGGTGCCATCTGCCTTTGTATGTCCCTATCTGTGCTCCTATCTTTGCATCGGAATTTTGTCTTCAATCCTGCAGCTTGGCAGTTATGCTTTATGGCCCCAGACAGG
The DNA here is from genome assembly GCF_000001405.40 of Homo sapiens. Taxonomy (NCBI): domain Eukaryota; kingdom Metazoa; phylum Chordata; class Mammalia; order Primates; family Hominidae; genus Homo; species Homo sapiens. The sequence continues at coordinate 12,226,210 of NC_000006.12, read as the reverse complement.
CTGCTGACAGCACCCTCTAGATTCCCGAATCCCTGGGGAGCATGGACCTTATGGATGGGTGAAGAGTGTGTGTGTGTGTATATGCACATGCTTGTGTGTCCATGTGTTGGGGAGTCGTATTCAAGAAGATGGGTGAGAAGGAAGGACATGAGAAGATACCAGGGTCCTCAACTCCGGTTGCAAGGAAGAGCATTTCAGAACTAGGGCATCCCAACTACTTGGGGAGTAAAACTGAGAGTCTAATGATCTGTGTGCTCATAGGGGCTCCTGGAGTCAGTAAAGATCTTGGACATTGGTGCCAGTTATAAGCATCGAAGGAGTAATTGAAAGAGAAGAGGGCCAGGTGTGGTAGCTTGCACCTGTAATTCCAGGCGTGAGCCAACACACTTGGGGAGTTCAAGGCAGGAGTATTGCTTGCAGTCAGGAGTTCCAGACAAGCCTGGGCAACATAGTGAGACCCCTTCTGTAGAAAAAATTTAAAAAGTAGCCAGGCATGGTCATGCACGTCTATAGTCCCAGCTGTCAGGAGGCTGAGGCTGGAGGATTGCTTGAGCCCAGGAGGTCAAGGCTGCAGTGAGCTATGATCACACCACTGCACTCCAGCCTGGGTGACAAAGTGAGACCCTGTCTCTGGAAAAAAAAAAAAAAAAGAAAAAAAGAAGAGGAAATACATTATTTATATGCACAAATAATATGCCAGTCATATATGCCTATAATGTATCAGAAGAAATGTACTATAAATTATATTGGAGTAAAACAGCAAACTCTATTCCCATTCATGAAACATACATCAATAAACAGAGCAGAATTAAACATGGGCTACATCAGACTTTGAGTCAAAATATTTGGCCACAGTGGAGAAATACCAACCGCAGTTTTGCCTTGTTTCCTAAAGAGATGATCTTTCTGGAGGGGTTTTCTGAGATGAGGGGTTTCTCCCCTTTTCCCTTCAGTCTCCTCAGCCCCTTCTTCCTCCCCTTTAATACTTATAATGGTGAGAGTCTGTCAGGAATAACTCAAACAATGGATGACCTCAGAGAGTATAAGCATTTAGCGAGAACATCAGGTAGAGAGAGGGCTCAGGGAATAAGCCTAGCTGCAAAGAGTGAGGGGAAAGAGAATGAGAGACACACTTTTTTTGCTATTTTCAGCATTCGAGAGGGGAAAGTCCCACAGTAGAAGAGAGAGCCTGCAACAATGGAAGAAGGCTGCAGCCTGTATAAAAAAAATATTTTTACATGTGTAAGACATGCAGTTAAAATGTGCACACACAAATAAGCCAGAAAAAGAGCCATCTGACTCAATAATTAGTGTAAATATAACACTAATTTTAGTCCTGTGTGAAATTCCTCAAAATTTGTGATTAAATAACATGCAGTACAACCCATTTGTTCTTCAGCCAACATATACCAAGTGTTAATTGTGTGCTAGGCATTGTGCAATGTGCGCTCTTGCCCTCATGGATCTGACAGTCAAGTGGGCATGACAGTCGAATCAGGGAACTGCCCAGGAGAGAATGTGAGGCTGCACCTTTGATGGAGAGTTCCATGGTACCAGAGAGCATCTCAGAGTGGGATATACTCTCTTAGGAGGAACAGGAAAGGCTCTGAGAAATCTCTCCTGACAAATTATGTTTCTTGAGAAACAAAAATCCTACGGTTAAGATTGCTATTGCATTTAATAACAGTTGGAATTCATATTCCCTGGACCTCTGTTCTAGTTTGGCTATCACAGCGATGAGCCTGCCAGGTGAATTGAGCAAGTTGGGAACTTATTGTAAATGTCAGCTTCTGGCTTCTTTCAAATCACTCAAGATTTAAATATCAAAGATGCAACTTCAGGACTTTCTCTTTTCTTCTAACTTTACATGCAATGTCTGGTTTTGCTCAATTGTCTACTTATTTACCCATCAATAAATATTGAGCTACAGACACTGTACCCTATGTTAAGTGTTCAGAGCACAGAGGCTAGTTAGAGATACCAGGGTGTTAGGAAATGTATGAAATGAATATATAATTACAAATTGCAATGACTATTGCTTTATGGGTCAAAGTTTGTAATTATGGACAACAGGATACACTATAGACAAATTAAGCAGACAGGCGTGCATTAAGAGTACAGCTAGCTCCATATTCTAAAGAGGCCTAAAGAAACAACTCTAGGCCAAAATTCCAAGATCATCGCCCCCAACTATTGCAGAACTAGGCCACCGAGGGAGCTCCTGCCCTTGTTAAGGAGAGAATCTCACATCCTCTGCCAGGACCCCGGCCAGTCAGATGAACCCCTCTATCCAGCTCTCTCTCACCATGTAGCAGCATGTCTAAACCACCTCCCACAGGTATGTCTGATGGGCAGAATCTCAACCATTTCTAGAACCCAGCTGCAATGGAGCCTGGGAAAGGCAGTTTGAGTCTTAGGCCCTGCCTTCGAGAAGGAGACTGGAATGCATGTTAAGGGAGCCCCACACAGTTGGCTACGGCCTCCGAGGGAAAGAGCAGGGAACTGACAGAGAAAAATAACACCAGGCATCTGCTTTAGTTTGAGTAAGAGAACAAGGCCATTCCTAGGAAGCAGCTTTTAAAGTCAGTGCAGAGGAAGGAATAGGATTCAGTTCATCAGTGTGTGCAAAGGCCCTGAGGTAGAATTTGACAGTGAGAACACACAGGAAAGTGAAGGAGGAGACTACGTGGGGAACATAGAGCAAGGCCTGAGAAGCTTGGAGAGGTGGAGGGGCTGATTGTTCAGGACCTCATGCTTTATTCTACCTGCAGTGAGAAGCCCTGAGGGGCCTTGAAAGGGGGATTTGGGTCTACGTTGTCATTAACGCATAGCCGACTAAATATGCTGTAATTCATTGTTAATGCTTTCTTCTGCAAGAAGCAAGATATGTGACTAAAAGGGCCCTAGAGAGAAGCAATTCCAGATTGGCTCAGTCATTCAGTGACTCCTGGGCCCTGGGGCAGCCTCTTCGTGGTCCTTGGTGCTGCTCCCACAGGTTCACAAGACTGTGGTTGCAGTGCCAAGTATCACGTGCTCCCTCGAACGAAGGCAGGGACCGGAAGAAACCTCTCTTTGAAAATTGGGGAAGAAAACCTGTTTTCCAGAAACCTTCACATTCCTTTGCCCAGGATTGGGTGCCATTCCTCTGCTGAGCTACAAACACACCAGGAATGTGATTATCTGAGATTTTCAGATTCTACAGTGGGAGGCAACCAGTGCCGAGAAAGCGTGGCTTTCGATAGGGAACCACAGCAAATGCCAGAGCTGTATTTTATCACAGCCATAAACTCCACACACACTCATGTCATCCACACAGAGCGAGCACAGCCTCGGAAAACACCCAGAACAAGACCAAAGTGAGTCTGGACTTGCCCAGCTAGAGAACACTAGAAACCCTAAGGCATGGAACGGGATGTCTAAAAAAAATCCACACTTGTATAAATCAATCAGTTTTTCCTCGGCAATTGCACTACTTAGAAACTTTGTTTATAAATGTATCGTTAGCATATCCATAGCACGATAAAACCCTAATGACAAGGTGCTTGTAGTATATACCAAGCCTCGCCATCAGACACAGGCCCGGGCAGGGTTAGGCTTGCCTGTGTCTACCCAGAAGCCACAGATAGATAGACTCCCGTCAGTCCTCCTACATTAGTGCTTGGCCATTTGCACACATGCGAATAAGCCTGATGTTCTTCCCCCTCTCTGTGACAGGGTGCCAGCGTCAGAGGAGTCTACCTGGATTGTACTCTTTGTAGTTGGTGTTACTACAGATCAATCATTTCTCTTTTTCAGACCAGGAACAGCATTTTACTTTCCTTATCTAGTTCTATTCTTTCATCATCTCAGAAGAGTTCCAAATTTCTCCCTCCATCAAGTAAGGGGCTAAGTCGTGTTTTCCAGTTATTGTTGTTTGCACAAGACAGAGGCAGGCAGGCACACCCCCAGATATATGTTATTTTCTGTTTCTTTCTAATGCTTGTTGGATAGAGACTAACGACCCTGCCAGACCCCAACGCCATGAAAAATCTGGACTGCTGCCCTCTTGCACACTAAGGTGGAGTGGGGAATATTCAGCTGCCTCTTTTGTTCTCATTAGACTTTCCCTAATGTATTCCCAACTCCCTCTACCAAAATCCCGGCTCCGGCTGCTCTCCATCTGGGAGAGCAGGGTTTACAGCTGTCTCTGGCTCTGACAGTGTGGTTTTGTGACCAACAGCATGAGGGGCTTGCTGTTACATAGAATGGACTCTACTCCAGAGATTTGTCTGTGAAATGTCTAGTTGGAGGTGTAGAGAAAAGGAAAGAGGCAGAGGGATAGAGAAACAGAGAGGAGAATTTCTATGAAAGCCTTCAGCTAAATTCAAGATAAAGTGTAGAGTATGATAATGCATTTTTGCAGGGAGGGGTGTGGAGTCTCGCTCTGTCGCCCAGGCTGGAGTGCAGTGGCGCTATCTCTGCTCACTGCAGTCTCTCTGGCTCGGGTAGTCCTCCCACCTCAGCTTCCAAGTAGCTGAAACTACAGGTATGCACCACCACACCCGGCTAATTTTTGTAATTTTAGTAGAGGTGGGGTTTTGCCATGTTGCCCAGGCTGGTCTTGAACTTCTGCGCTCAAGCAATCTTCCTGCCTTGGCCTCTCAAAGCACTGGGATTACAGGCATGAGCCACCAGGCCTGTCATAATGCATTTTTAACGTTGCAAAAGAAGTGTTAGCTCTGCTTTTTCCCTTGCCTGCTGCCCTGCAATTTAGAGCTTTAATGTTCAGCATCCAACCTGAGGCCCCGCCGTCTCTGTAATTCCAAAGCCTCCTATGAATAATGAAATAGAGTAGGAGAAAGGAAAGAGAAGGTAGAAGAGAAGTGAATAGAAAAAAAATGAAGATTGGATGAAAGAAAAGAGGAGAACATGATTATAAGTGTAAGTGATGGGATAAAATTGCTGGGGAGAAAGAATTCGCTCAGATAGAGAACTCTTGTACCAAACATCTGAGAGCCTGCTAAGTGCCAGGCCCTCTGCCGGGCACTGAACGCCGAATATGCAGAGATGATCAAGAAAGACAACTTTCCTGCTTTCATAGAGTGTGCATTCTACCAAGGGAAACCAAGAATAAACAAATAAACAAGTGTATGACGTAAGGTCAACAACCGATAAGTACTGTGAAGGGAAATCAGAGTAAAAAGATAGGGTGCAATAGGAGCATGGCAGGAGGCAAAGATCTCTCTAAGGAGGTATCATTTGAGAAGGGAATTCAAGAAAATGAGAGAGCAAAGGACTTCGATGTCTGGGAAAAGGGCACACCAGGCTTAGGAAAACGGAGAGAAAATATCCAGAGGTGGAAACAGTCCTGGTGAATGGAGTGAGGGAGCAGGACAATGAGGGGGAGGGATGAAAAGGGAAGGATGGCCCAGAGAAGTGCCAGGAGGAGCCCTGGGAAATTGTAGTCAGGAGACAGTTTGTGCTTTGATTTTTATGTTAAAAAATGACTACGACACTGAAGAATGGCTAAAATAAAAGTGTTGGTGAAGATGTAAAGGAACCAGAATCTTCGTATCTTATGTGGGAATATGAGTCAATAAAGCCACTTGGGAAAATGGATTGACAGTATCTACTAAAGCTGAATGCACATATACTTTAAAATTTTTTTAATTATTTTTATTTTTTGAGATGGAGTTTCACTCTATCATCCAGGCTGGAGTGCAGTGGCGTGATCTCGGCTCACTGAAACCTCCACTCCCCGGGTTCAAGTGATTCTCCTGCCTCTCAGCATACCAAGTAGCTGGGATTACAGGCACCTGCCACCACACCTGGCTAATTTTTGTTTTTTGCTTTGTTTTATTTTTATTTATTTATTTATTTTTAGTGGAGTTGGGGTTTCACCATGCTGGCCGTGCTGATCTCAAACTCCTGATCTCAAGTGATCCGCCTGTCTCAACCTCCCAAAGTGCTGGGATTACAGGCGTGAGCCACCACGCCTGGCCCACACATATTCTTTTGACCAAGCAGTTCCACTCCTGCAAATAAATATACCCCCAAAGAGGCCAGGTTCAGTGGCTCACACCTGTAATCCCAGCACTTGGGGAGGCAGAGATGGAAGGATCACTTGAGGCCAGGAGTTTGAGACCAGCGTGGGCAATAAAATGAGACCCCCATCTCTAAATAAATAAATAAATAAAGCTAAAAATAAATAGAAAAATTTGAAAAATATACCCCAAAGAAATAACAGCTTCTGTTCACTAAAAATCGTGTACAAGAGCATTCATAGCATATTTACTCATAATAGCCCCAAGCTAAAAAATAGACCAAATGTTCTTTAACTTTACAAAGGATAAATAAATTGTGGTATATTCATACAATGGAAGATAACAGCAAAGAAAAATCACAAGGTACAGCTAAATACAAGAGAAGAAATTTTTTTCAGACCTAATGAAGAGATGAAAGAAACCAAATATGAAAGAATACATTCAGTATTTCTCCATTCATACGAAGTTCAAAAAAGTGGAGGTCATCTATCATGATAGAAGTCACATTTGTTACATTTGGGAGTTATAGACTGGGAGAGGTCATGGTTGAGGTTTCTGGGGTGCTAGAAGTGGTCTATATCCTCACAGATGTTCCACATACAATGTCTTCATTCGTTTGGGCACTATAACAAAATGCCTTGGACTGCATAATTTATAAACAACAGAAATGTAATGCTTATAGTTCTGAAGTCTTGGAAGTTCGAGATCAAGGTGCCAGCAGATTAGGTGTCTGGTAAGGGCAGACATGGATGTTGCCTTCATAGATAGAGCCTTCTAGCTGTATCCTAGCATGGTGGAAGAGTGAAAGGGGAGGTAAGCTTCGTCTAACCTCTTTTATAAGGGCATTAATCTCATTCAAGAGGGCTTTGCTCTCATGATCTAATCATCCCCTAAGACCTCACCTCTTAATACTATTGCACTGGGGGCCGGGCTTGGTGGCTCACGCCTGTAATCCCAGCACTTTGGGAGGCTAAGGCAGGCAGATCGCCTGAGGTCAGGACTTAAAGACCAGCCTGGCCAACATGGTGAAACCCCGTCTCTACTAAAAATACAAAAATTACATGGGCACAGTGGTGCATGCCTGTAATCCCAGATACTCCAGAGGCTGAAGCAGGAGAATTGCTTGAACCTGGGAGGTGGAGGCTGCAGTGAGCCAAGACTGTGCCACTGCACTCCAGCGTGGGCAACAGAGTGACACTCTGTCTCAAAAAAAAAAAAAAAAAAATACTATTGTGTTGGGTTTAGGTTTCAACATATGTATTTTGAGGAGGGGACACCAACATCAGACCAAAGCAAATGCATCTGTAAAAACTGAGTTGAACATTAAGATTTGAACCCCTTACGGAACATATGTTATACCTCAATAAATATTTCGGAAGATGAAAGGAAACAAGAAAAGACTGGCCTGATTTTCTGTAAGCATGCTGTGTAGGGTCAAGAATGGAGGCAGGGAGATCTTTAGGAGGCTGCTGCAGTAGCTTGGGAGAGGGAAAGTGGCTTGGACTAGGATGCTGGTAGGGAAGGTTCTGAAAATGGGTCAGAGTCAGGGGACATATGCTAATTTGGGATGACAAGACACGCTAACAGATTGGTTGTGGGATGTGAGATAAAAAGAGGAATCAAGGATGACTCCCAGGTTTGTGGTCTGGGAAACTAGGTGGAGGGTAGAGCTATTTGTGGACAAACAGGAGGGAAGAACCTAGAATCCTGTTTGGTACGCATGCCCATTGATATCCAAGTAAAGATGTGGAGTATAAACAGGGGTGCATATCAGTGTCCCTTAAAGGGGATTGTTGATATGCTTTTGGGAGTTACCAGCATATTCATGGTATTCAAAGCTATGGGGCAGATGAGAGCTTCAGGCGGTGGACTGTAGATCGAGAAGCGAGGTCTGTACCTAGGGGTACTCAAACATTTAGAGGCCAGGAAGGAAAAGAAGATCCAGAAAAGGAAACAGAGAAGAAGCCGCAGTGGGGAGGCAAAGGCAGGGAGAGGATAACAGGAAAAGTGCCTTGGAAGCCTAGTGAAGAAAATCAGGTGGAGCTGCAGATTCAAGGCTCAACTCCCAGGATTCAACTCAAATTGCAGACCAGTTTGAATTGGTCAGCAACAGAGCTACAGCCTCTCTGAACATTCAGAGGTTGCTGGCTCAACTGTTGCTGTAAAGTTGATAAGAACTGAGAGCTGATCATTGGATTTGGTAACATGGAGGTTATCAATGGCTTGGCAATGGCGGTTTCACTGAGTGTGTCAAAACTCAGATAGGAATGAGGAAATAGAGACAATCGGTATAGATAACTCTTGATGAGCTCACCATACAACAAAGCAGATACATGAGGAAGTGGAAGACAGGAGGATAGGACATTTTTATTTTAAGACGGGAAATATTAGAGCATGTCTGTATGCTAATGACAGATCCTGAAGAAAGGGAGGAAATAGTGATATGGGAGCAGTGGAGAAAATTAGAGTAGAAAAACCTTTAGCGGTGTCAGACAGATGGAACCCAGTGTTCAGAAGAGGGGTTGGCTTTAGACAGGATCAGAGACAGTTCCCCTTTTGTGGCAGGTGGGACGGCAGAGGGTCACCGGCAGCAGGCTGACTGATCAGGAGGTGGGAAGACATGAAAGTTCTCCTCGGGTTGCTTTTTATAGTATTGTAAAAGAAGGGGAAACGGTCATCATTTGAGAGTGAAGACAGAAGTTGGAGGAGAAAGGTGTGAACAGTTGTCTGGGAAAGAGAATTGTTTAGGGAATGAGCTGGGACTGCCTGGTAGAAGTAAGGGCACCCATGAGGTCGCATGGGTGCAGCGGATCAGTCAGCAGAGCTCTGTTATTCTCTACATTCAGTTCAGAATAATAAGAATTGGATTAAGCCAAAGACGGGGCTTTGCTAGGAAGGCTCAGTGAAAGAGGGAAGGTCAGGTGGCCACAATATATGGAAAGGAATCACTTAGTGATGCTTCAGGGAATCTAACCTGGGCAAGAAAAGAAGCAAGGACGTGAGCTGCTTGAAGGGGAAAAGGTGGGAATTCACAGGAAATAATCTGACAGCACCAGTTAAGATGAAAATAAGTATGCCCGTGGCATGGCCATGTCTTCCAGAAAAAAAACACATTTATCTGTGCACAGGGAGGTGTTCAAAAATGTTCACTGTAGCATCGTTTGAAATTGAAAACAAACAAATGGGAGAACCAAATGCCCATCAACAGAAACATGTGTTTTAAATAATGATGGTATATTCACACCGTATAATAACACGTGGAAGTGAAAATGATGAACTAGTGCTGCAGGCCAGCAGGGACGACTCTCACATTCCATCAAGAGAAAATAAAAGGAAGTCATAAAGGAATACAGTCTGTATGATCCCAGTAATTATAAGTTTAAAAGCATGCAAAACGAAACAGTATTTTGTAGAGAGATAAAAGAAAAAAATTAATGAGTGAGAATGGTAGTTATTAATACAAAGTTTAGATAGTAGTTATCTAGGGGATGTAGTTGGGAAGGCTATGTAATGGGGTTTAATGCTCTTGGTAATATTTTATATCTATAGTTAGATAGTAGATATATGACTGCTGTGTTATTCTTTATATTGTTTGTATGTGTGAAATGATTCTTGACATATTTCAAAATAATAATGATGTTTTAAAATAATGCCAATGGATTGGCAGTATCTGGGAAGTCAAGATAGTGTTGGAGTGGGCATATTAGGGAAAGCCTGGAGGCTGTAATCAGAGACAGGGCACTTAAAATGGGGATTGCTGAGGTGGTGTAGTTACAGATATTGAAAAGCCTTGAGAATATATAGCAAAGGTGTGGTGGAGAAAAAAATGAGTGGGCATAAAGGGGTCTGGGAACTGGGAAGCCAGGGTTTTGGATGGATAATTTATGTAGATGCTGAAGGATGTGAGTAACAGGGCTAGAAGTATAGCACTATTCCTAATGTAAAATAAATTGACAATGAATGTTTATCAAAATGAACAGAATTTCTTCAATAAATTATTGATAATCCTCTTCATTCTAGGTCTCTTTTTAATTTTTCTTCAGTGTAAAGTATCAAGGGTTGGTTGAACATTGTTCCACACACACACAGACACACACACAGACACACACATCTATTGGACCATTGTGTCCTTTAGTAAAAACTCAGAAGTTATTTACTTCCCATGAGGGAAATAGTTACATGTGGATGTGATGGTACGGCTGACTGTCACCTGCATGCTTATGCCTACGATTTTTTTTTTTTTTTTTTTTTGAGACAGAGTCTCGCTCTGTCACCCAGGCTGGAGTGTGCAGTGGCATGATCTTGGCTCACTGCAAGCTCCGCCTCCTGGGTTCACACCATTCTCCTGCCTCAGCCTCCTGAGTAGCTGGGACTACAGGTGCCCATCACCAGGCCAGGCTAATTTTTTGTATTATTTTTAGTACAGACGGGGTTTCACCATGTTAGCCAGGATGGTCTCGATCTCCTGACCTCGTGATCTGCTCGCCTCAGCCTCCCAAAGTGCTGGGATGCTTATGCCTACAATTTTAAATGTCAGATGAAAGCATCTTGAATGGAGAGTGAGGAGTCAATGTGATGAGTGAAAGACCACTGGATTATTTGTACTGACCACAGCACCTATTTTTACAAAAGCCAAAAGCCAAACAACAACAACGACAACAACAAATCCCACACACAAGAGCATGTATGTGTGTTGGTGGCGAGGAGGGGTTGGTGCAGGAGGGAGCATCTGGTCAAAATATATTTTAAAAAGCATATTATATAAAATAAAATGCTCAGAGGGATAAATAAGGTAGTTCTTTTCTTTCATCCAGACTTCTGATCTCCAAATGGTGATAAAGCTTTCTAGATTGGGAAATTCTCTTAATCAGGTAGTCACGGCTGGGTATGGTGGCTTATACCCGTAATACCTGCAATTTGGGAGGCTGAGTTGGGTGGATCACTAGAGTCCAAGAGTTTAAGATGCCTGGGCAACATGGTGAAACCCCTTCTCTACAAAAAACACAAAAATTAGCCGGACATGGTGGCATGTGCCTGTAGTCCAAGCTACTTGAGAGGCTGAGGTGGGAGGATTGTTTGAGCCTAGGAGGTTGAGGCTGCAGTGAGCTATGATCATGCCACTGCACTCTAGCCTGGATGAGAGAGTGAGACCCTGTCTCAAAAAAAAAAAAAAAAAAAATAGGTAGTTGTAAATCAAGGGGTACTTTGTTTCTGAAGCTCTATTCCCTGAATCTATATTTTACTACAAAATCTGGAGATAGATACTGATATGGTTTGGCTGTGTCCCCCCACCCAAATCTCATCTTGAATTCCCATGTGTTGTGGGAGGGACCCAGTGGGAGGTAATTGAATCATGGGGGCAAGTCTTTCCCATGCTTTTCTCGTGATAGTCTCATGAGATCCGATGGTTTTAAAAAGAGGAGTTCCCCTGCACAAGCTCACTTTCTTTGCCTGATGCCATTCATGTAAGACGTGACTTGCTCCTGCTTGCCTTCTGCCATGATTGTGAGGTTTCCCCGCCACAATTGGAAAAGTTTAATTTTCCAATTAAACTTCTTTCTTTTGTAAATTGTGCAGTCTCAGCTTTGTCTTTATCAGCAGCATGAAAACGGACTAATACAGACACATTTTCACCGACCATGAAGGCCGGCACCTACCACACCTTAACACACAGGTAAGCAGCATCCATAGGCTTATGAAGTCATGGGCAGGAAGGTTGGTTTGAAAATGTGGAAAGCCTCTTCACTTACCGCCAGCAGCCTCTCAATACTGGAGTTTAGGGCAGCAGATTTCTTATTGGGCTTGATCTATCTGTAATCACACAAGGTGTGGTTCTACACACCAGAGATGAAAAAAGGAGTGAGGGTACAAAAAGCTTGAGTGATTTCCAGTCCCTTGAAGGACTTAAAAGCTTTTCAAATTGATCTCTGAGCTTCAATTGCATCATCTGTAAGATGAGAGTTGACTGATCTATAAGATCTATTTTAGTCGTAAAATACATTAAATTTTAAAAACGTAACTGGGGGCACCACTGTCGAATAACCCAGGAAATTGATATATAGTATATATGGCTATGCAGACATGTAATTACAGCCGCATGATATAGGATAGTATATGATTGCTAAATTAATGATACACCCACAAGTGCTTGAAAATAAACTTTATGAGTCACACTATCTGGTATGATAAATATTGATTGCATATAACAGTTTCTTGGTAAATATTACACTAGCTTTAAAGATAGTTGAGAAAAGTTTCTAGATAAATACAGCAAAATCTTGTAGGATTATAAAAACCACTTGCTTTGATACCTCTATATGAAAAATTGTTTTATTTAATTTCTTTATTTATTTGAGACAGGTTCTCACTCTGTCACCCAGGCTGGAGGGCAGTGGCACAATCACAGCTCACTGCAGCCTTGACACCCTGGGCCCAAGTAATCCTCCCACCTCAGCCTCCCAAGTAGCTGGGATTACAGGCACACACCGCCACACCTGGCTAATTTTTATATTTTTTGTAGAGACGGGGATCTGCTAGGCTGGTCTCAAACTCCTGAGCTCAAGCAGTCCTCCCACCTCAGCCTCCCAAAGTGCTGGGATTACAGGCATGAGCCACTGCACCTGGCTGAAAAGTGGTTTTTAAGAATGCAAAAAATTCTCTAGCAACAACCAAATAAGGAAAGGGCATAGCATTATTCCATAAACATCAAAGAGTACAGTCTATGAAAAGAAACAGAAGATTCAGAAGTGCTATGGTTCCGCCTCCGGAAGAAGTACTAAGGAAGGAAGACCACTTCACATTATGAGATTCTCATAATTCCCTACCATTCTGAGAAAAGTGGACTAAGGCTGATAAGATAGTCTTGGGACAAACCAAGGAAAAATTATTTAAGGAGTAGAAATCTTCTAAAAGTAGGAAGTCAATCTGTATAGTCTTAAACTAAAGCATATACCTGTAGTTAAAAATACAGTGATCATTTATTGTAATAATTAAGTCTCCAATCTCATAATGTTTTCCACAATAATTTTCTTAAGTTTAGAAGACTCTTTGATGGTGAAGAAATGCTTAATGAAGTTTAGCAACTCTTTCAGTTTAATGTCAGTTTCTTTTTCTTTCTTTTTTTTTTTTTTTTTTGAGACAGAGTCTTGCTTTGTCACCCAGGCAGGAGTGCAGTGGTGCAATCTCAGCTCACTGCAACCTCTGCCTCCCAGGTTCAAGTGACTCTCCTGCCTCAGCCTCCTGAGTAGCTGGGACTACAGGCACGTGCCACCACACTGGGTAATTTTTTGTATTTGTAGTAGAGATGGGGTTTCAGCATGTTAGCCAGGATGGTCTCGATCTCCTGACCTCGTGATCTGCCCGCCTTGGCCTCCCAAAGTGCTGGGATTACAGGCGTGAGCCACCACACCTGGCCTGTTTTTCTTCTATCAAGTTTAAGTAAAATTGTGATTTTTTTTTAAAAGTAAGTAGCTTCTATAGAATTATTTTATTTTTAAACAATCATTTGACTTGCTGGTTATTTATATATAGATCTATTGTGATTTTTAAAAAGTAAGTAGCTTCTATAGAATTACTTTATTTTTAAATAATCATTTGACTTGCTGGTTATTTATCTATAGATCTTTCTACCCATCCATTTATCTAACTGTCCCTAACAAATAGCAGTGAGTAGGCTACGTTGCAGCACTTTTAAACAATTTTTTTTTTTTTTTTTTTTTTTAGAGAGAAAGTCTGGCTCTGTCACCCAGGCTGGAGTGCAGTGGGACAATCTTGGCTCACTGCAACCTCCACCTCTTGGGCTCAAGCCATCCTCCCACCTCAGCCTCCTGAGTAGCTGGATACAGGCTACTGCACCACCACCACTGGATAATTTTTGTATTTTTTGTAGAGATGCAATCTCACTATGTTGCACAGGCTGGTCTTGAGCTCCCGAGCTCATGCAATCCTCTTGCCTTGGCCTCCCAAAGTGCTGGGATTAAAAGGGTGAGCCACCACATAGAGTCTTTAAACAATTTTGAGAAAATATTTTTAAATTAGAAAGTTTCTAGTACGAAGTCAAATGTCTCACTTCTAGCAGAACAGAAGTTCTGACAACACTGGGACCACATTGCCACTTGGCAATCACCTACTTTACCTGAGAAATACCTGTGCCCTCCGGACGGGGCATGTCTTCTTCAGTTTGCCAGAGGTGCCATCACTCTTATTGTTCTCCCAACAAGGAAAGCATTGGTTGCTATATATCATCTTGCTTGCCCTGTAGTTTAAAAAAAATTTTTTTTAGGGTACAGAAATATTTCTCCATACCATGTGGAAAGGCTCAAGGTAGACTGAGAGGATTGAATGAGTCTCCTCACATCAGTCTCAACCACGGAAGTTCCTCTTGACTCCTGAAAGCATTTTACTTTGCAATATAGGCTTAAAGTGACATCTAGAATGATGTTCACCATGGACCAAACTAATTTTTTTTCCTTGGGGAGATGTGATTTTGTGGGATTTGTTAGTTTCTTCTTTGCTCTTTCCTGCATTACATGATATTTCTTTATGGTGAAAATGCATCATTTTTAGTTTTCAAAATCGGGCAATACTAAATATATAGACACACACATGGATGTATGTATGAATATACATATGTGTTTATATAAATATATGTATGTGTATACATAAATATCTATGTTTATGTTGTGTGGGTGTGTGTGTGTGTATATATATATACATATATATATGATGGAAAGTGGTGAGGGAAAATTATTCAAAGTACTCTTTTTTCTTTTTCTTTTTTTTTTTTTTTGAGACAGAGTCTCGCTCTGTCACCCAGGCTGGAGTGCAGTGGCGCGATCTCGGCTCACTGCAAGCTCCGCCTCCCGGGTTCACGCCATTCTCCTGCCTCAGCCTCCGGAGTAGCTGGGACTACAGGCACCTGCCACCACGCCCGGCTAATTTTTTTGTATTTTTAGTAGAGACGGGGTTTCACCGTGTTAGCCAGGATGGTCTCAATCTCCTGACCTCGTGATCCGCCCGCCTCAGCCTCCCAAAGTGCTGGGATCACAGGCGTGAGCCACCGCGCCCGGCCTCAAAGTACTCTTATAAGAGAGAGGAGTACAGAACTCTTGGAGACAGTCTATGTAGCTTCCCCTGAGTTAATAAATCAAGATTTTCCATTAGTAATCTTCAGATACACCTCTAGGGAGTCTCCCACATATATATGTAAAAGTAAATGTGACTCATAAATGGGGCATTCATTTATCGGGCATTATGACTTTTCAGGATTTCTAAAACAGCAGCAGAAAAAAAAAATGATTTTTTTTAACACCACAGAAGGAAAACTTCTTAAAAAGTGAGATCTATTCCAGGGGAAACCACATCCAGATTTGGGAGCTGTTTCTTCTTTTTTTCTGTAGAAAGACTGATGAGGAACTTCATCTGAATCTATAATGAGGTTTCAGTTAAGTTGTATTTAATCAATCTTCCTGGCAGTTGTGTTTAATTTACAAAGGTGTATCATTTCCCCCCTTCAAATTATTCAATTCAGTCCCCAGACGCTGTCTCCAACATACTGCAAGCCGGGAGATGATGAATGAGCAGAAGGAGGAAAGGTAGCAATTTCACAGCTGTTATACTTTCAAATCATAGCTTTTCACTAGATTTTTTTCTATTTTTTTAAAACATCTAACAGCATTATTGATGGCTTTTACATTATAATTGACCCTAGCAACTTTAAACTACTCTAACTATGCTGAAATAGGTAATCAATAAGGATCACAAAACACAAAAGCAACCAAGATTAAAATCGAATATTTTCAAGAAATTATCTGCTTCAAAATTATACCAGCGAATCAAAAGCTCTTTCTTATCTTGAAGGCTATGGTGAGAAACGTAGGGAGTGTTTGGACGGAGGCATAACGTGCTTTGTAATCCAGTCTTTGCATTTCATTTCTGCACTTTCTACCTTGCAGATTGTTTTATCCATTCCTTCCCTGGTTGGCTGAGGAAGGGATTGTGCCTCCCACAGGGTAAGGACTGAATCATTGGTAACTAGTAAATACTAGTTCACATGTACCATAAACTCCTTTTTCTTTTTTTTTTTTAAGACAGAGTCTGGCTCTGTTGCCCAGACTGGAGTGCAGTGGCACGATCCTGGTTCACTGCAACCTCCATCTCCTAGGTTCAAGCGATTCTCCGAGTAGCTGGGCTTACAAGCGCCCACCACTACACCCGGCTATATAACCACCTTTCTGAAAAGACAAATCTTTCTTTGTCCTGAATCAAAGTTTCCCTACAAGCTTTATCACTGCCTACTCTGCTTTTAGAGGAGTTCCTTCACTCCCACAATATATAACAAAGAGGAAAGAAATCAAACATTTTTTAACCACACAGGAATATTTTTATTTTAACCATGAAGTAATTCATATATTAATTAACATAATTAATTAAGCTATACTACATTAAGTGTATCTATGCATGTATAATGAACCAATACACGTAAAGCACTTAGTATCTGGCACATATTGCTCAATTCACATTAAGTATTATGATGATTATTATTAATATTTTCATTCAACAAATACTTCTTGAGTTCCTACTACATGTCCTGTACTATCCCTACTGTGGGGCATATATCAGTGAATAAAACAGACAAAAATTTCTGCCTTCATGGAGCTTACATTCTAATGAAGAAGTTAAATGTTTAAATAAGTACATTATATAGGGTGCTGGGAGGTGATAAGCCCTCTAGAGAAAAAAATTTTTTGTTTTTTTGAGACGGAGTCTCATTCTGTCGCCCAGGCTGGAGTGCAGCGGTGCTATCTGGACTCACTGCAAGCTCCGCCTCCCGGGTTCACGCCATTCTCCTGCCTCAGCCTCCCAAGTAGCTGGGATTACAGGCTCCTGCCACCACACCAGGCTAATTTTTTACATTTTTAGTAGAGACAGGGTTTCACCGTGTTAGCCAGGATGGTCTCGATCTCCTGACCTTGTGATATAGAGAAAAATTTTAAAACCAAGGAGGATAAAGAGTGCTGGGGGATGGTAGGAGGTGGATGGTTTGTAATTTTGAATAAGTGGCCAGAGGAGACCTGCCGAGAAGGCAAGATGCCAGCAGACTTAAAGCAACCAAAGGAAGGAGCCAGGAAGGTATCTGAAAGAAATATGTTCTAGGCAGAGGGAATGGCACGTGTGCAGAACAGCGAGGAGGCCAGAGTGGCTAATGCTGAGGGAAAACAGGCAAGAAGTAGGAGATTAATCCCTCTGCATTCTATGAAGGAAAAGGTTGCATAAACGCAACACCCACTGTATTAGTCAGATAGGGCTTCAGTAACAAACATCACAGATGGTGCACCTTAGGCCACAGAAGTTTATTTTCTCACTGTTTTGGAGGAGTCTGAGATCAGGTGTCAGCAGAGCTGGTTCATTCTGAAGCCTCCCTCCTTGGCTGGTAGATGGCACCTTCTCCCTATGTCCTCACATGGGATTCCCTCTGTGTGTGTCTGTGTCCCCCTCTCCTCTTCTTCTAAGGACGCCATTTAAACTGGATTAGAGCCCACTCCCAGGATCCCATTTTAACTGAATTATCTCTTTAAAGACTCATCTCCAAATACGATCATACTCTGAAGTACTAGGGTTTGGGACTTCAACATATGAATGTGGGGCTGGGTGACGCGGTGCAGCACGGAACACTCAGGGTAACTTTTTCTGTGGCCGCTCATACTGTGGTGGAACCGCCCTGCAAGGAGGCTTCCTTCCTACTTCGCGAGTCTGGTTATGAGACTCCAGTATCAGGTGACCCACTGCTTCACTTCCCTTCTATGGGAATTGCTTAACTGCATATACTTCCTGACTGCTGTCATCAAGGTTGCAAGGGTTCCCAGGGCTCATCACAGGGCGAGTTTGGGGTGATGAGTCAGCTGTACAAAACAAAGTCATCACCAATCTTTTCCTGAGAAATTGCTCAAAAAGGGTGAGGTGTTAGGTGCTACAAGGCATGTAGCTAAGTTAATGAAACATGTAAATCAACAACTACCAAAAATTAACTACTATTATCTATGGAAATATCAACATGAATGAAGCATTGACCAGAATAATCACTATGAACTTTCCTTCTTTCAGATAATAAATTGCTTTTTAAGAAGTAAACTGTCTATACTCTTTATTAAAATTATTTTTAGGGAGCATGGCCCTCAGAAGGTATTTCTGAAACTGGTATAGTGAGTGACACAGCTGAATTCAAAGCAAGGTCTGATTCTTCCACATCCATGATCCATAAATCTAGATTTTTTTTTTTTTTTTTTGAGACAGAGTCTCAGGCTGGAGTGCAGTGGTGTGATCACAGCTCACTGCAGCCTTGACCCCCTGGGGCTCAAACAATCCTCCAACCTCAGCCTCCAGAGAAGCTGAGACCACGGTCATGTACCGCCACACCTGGCTAATTATTATTATTATTATTATTATTTTGTAGAGACTGTTCTTGCTGTATTGCCCAGGCTGGTCTAGAACTCCTGGACTAAAGTAAGCCCCTTGCCCTGGCCTCCCAAAGTTCTCGGATTTACAGGTGTGAGCCACCATGCCCCGCCAAATCTAGATTAATTGTGAGGTAGAAGGTATCAGACCTTCTGCTGGTGGCCCCGCTGGCTTCTGAGGCTGTTTCACAGCAGTTACAGGGAAATTTGACAGGTATTTCTAGCACAGTGTGTAAACTGCAGGAATTCAATAGCAATTATAGGTCCTTTTTTTCTATTATTAACATAGGGAATTTAAATAATCTAGGAGAAGAGATCAAGGTTAAGAGAAAATATTGTGTGATCATGAAAATTATATTTATTGAACATTCATATGCCACTATACAAACATTTAAAAAATGAATAAAGATGGTTCCTGACAAGGTCTTTCCAATAGCTAAATATGGTTAAATCCATCTTCAGCAGGCACATTACTTTTCATCATATATGCTAGGGAAATCATTTGCAGGAATTAAGATCTTAGGCTGAAATGAAACTATGCAACGGGCAATCAAAACGAGGTGCCTCACCAGACGACCCAGGTGCCAGCAATCTTAACTCATCAGGAATGATTTGTCTGACTTAAAAACTCAGCAGAATCAGAACAGATTTTTTTAAATGCTTCTGAAACTTTGATGTGACATTTTTTCCATAGGATCCAATTTCCTCGTGTTGTATTTGATCAATGTTGGCAACCCCCTAGGTTTATTAACAGACAGTGTTGACAGGTTAATTACAGGAGGAAATTAGCACACATCAGAGACCTAGGTGATCACTCCTACTCGCAATCACCCTTCATTGTAAGTGACTTGCTGCAGCTTCTCACCCACTCCTGGGGCAAAGGGTTTGGACAACATAGAAACTGCACAAAACCCAGCTGCCTTCCCTAGGGAAGGAGTCTAGCACTGTGTCTTCACTAGACATTTGGCAAAGGCTTCTTTGAGTGCATAAAATATTGAGGATAACTAAAGACAGCATTCTGGTTCCCTAGGACTGCCATAACAAAGCACCACAGACTGGTTGGCTTAAACAATATAAATGTATTATTTCACAGTTCTGGAGCCTAGAAATCTAAAATCAAGGTGTTTGGAAGGCCACGCTTCCTCTAAAGATGCCAGGGAAGGAGCTATTCCAGGCCTCTTTCCAAGCTTCTCAAAATTCCTTGGCTTGTGGCAACATAACTCCAGTCCTCATGTGGCATTCTCTCTCTCTTTCTCTGTCTCTCTCTTTCTCTGTGTGTGTGTGTTCAAATTTCCCCTTTTGGATGGGTGTTGTAGCTCACGCCTGTAATCCCAGCACTTTGAGAGGCTGAGGAGGGAGGATTGCCTGAGTTCAGGAGTTCAAGACCGGCCTGGCCAACATGGTGAAACCCTGTCTCTACTAAAATACAAAAAAATTAGCCAGGTGTGGTGGCGGGCACCTGCAATCCCAGCTACTCAGGAGGCTGAGGCAGGAGAATTGGTTGAAATCAGGAGGTGGAGGTTGCAGTGAGCTGAGATCGTGCCACTGCATTCCAGCCTGGGTGACAGAGCGAGACTCTGTCTCCAAGAAAAAACAAAAACAAAAACAAAAATAAATTTCCTCTTTGTACAAGGACACCAGTCATATTGGATTAGGGCCCATCCTAATGACCTCGTTAACTTGATTACATTTCCCTGTCTCCATATAAGGTCACATTTTGAGGTACCGGGTATTAGGACTTCCACACATAAATTTTGGGGCGGACACAATACAACCCATAATACACCCTGTTACTATCTAATTAATGATGGCTCCAGCAGCTGAGATTGCAGAGGAAAGAGGCAGGTGCCACGCTGTATGCTAAAAATATGGGTTTCAGGGTCACATAGACCTGGGTGTGGATCCTGACCTGTTCATCTATGATCTGTGCCCTTAGGGAAGTCACTTGATTAATTGTCCAAAAGCAGTTCATAATTATCTAGTACATTTTAAGTGATTTTTAAAAATCCATTCATTTTGTACACTTAACAAATATGTACTTTACAAATATTAATTTATATAACCCTTATAACGACTCAAGGGGTAGGTATGGTTGTCACACAGAAGGTGCACAGAAGTTGAGTAACTTAACCTCAGTCACACAACTAGCAAGAAACAGAGGCATAATTCCAAAATAGTAGCCTTGCCCAAGACCCGAGGACTTAACCACTGTACCGTGCAGTAGATCATGCCCCACGTAGCTTTGTTCAAATTTTTTTTTTTTTTGAGATGGAGTCTTGCTCTGTCACCCAGGCTGGAGTGCAGTGGCGCAATCTCGGCTCACTGCAAGCTCTGCCTCCCGGGTTCACGCCGTTCTCCTGCTTCAGCCTCCCAAGTAGCTGGGACTACAGGCGCCTGCCACCAAGCCTGGCTAATTTTTTGTATTTTTAGTAGAGACGGGGTTTCACCGTGTTAGCCAGGATGGTCTCGATATCCCGACCTCAAGATCCACCCGCCTTGGCCTCCCAAAGTGCTGGGATTACAGGCATGAGCCACCGCGCCCAGCCGCTTTGTTCAAATTTTTTTACTGGCTTCCCATTTGACTCAGAGGGAGAGCCAGGTCCTTAGAGTGGCTTATGAAACTGTAGGAGACATCACCCCTGCCAGCTGTGTGATCTCATCTCTGATCACTTCCCCCTCAACACCTCTGCTCCAGCCAAAACACAATCCCGAACACACAGGCGCTCTCTGCCCCAGTGCCTTTGCACCGGTTGTTCCCTCTGGCTATCATGCTTTTCCCCCAGCTTTCATAGGACCTGCTGTAGTTCTCTCCAGTGCCCCCGTGTCATTACATTTTTATGTTATTGATTACCTCCTGATGTCATACATGTTTATTGTTTGCTTACATATTGCTTCTCTCCCTTCACCCCACCGGAAGCTTCATGAGGATCATGAATAATATAAGTTTTAATACAGGTAATGCAAGTAATTGGACACTCATGAGCTTCAGGAGTCTTTGTGTGTTTATTCACTGCTGTAATTCCAGCACTTAACATGCAATAGGTACTCAATAAATAGTTGTGAATGGGTAAGTGAATTAATGAATTAGGTGACTATTACTAGGCCTGGTCTGTAGATCATGCTCAATAAATAATGACTGCAAATTTTTTTAGTGTGGAAACCAGAAGTTACTGAAAATAGCACAGAATGAGGTTAAAAACCAAAGGTTCTTAGTCGGGGGATTTTTTTTCTTAATATTTAGGAGATGCATGTTGCTGAAATTCACCATGCACCAGGCTTGGGCACAGTGCCTGGGATATAAGAAGCACTCCGTAGATGAGGGTTGAGGGAAGCGGGGGAAAGGGAGGGAGAAAGGGGAGGATAGACGGGGAAGGGAGGAAGCTTGAACACCTGCTATGTGCTGTGCAGGGTGCCGTGGTGCTGGCAACACAAAGATGAAAAACTGGGCTGAGCCCAAGAGAAACTCTGTGTCTGGTAGCTGGGAAGTGTCCTATGATAGACAGTGCAATATTACAAAGCCACTCTACTGGGTGTGTCCATCTGACTGTCTGCATGGAAGTGTCCTCAGAGTGCTTCCATTCTTCATTCCTCACTTATGAGGGGAAGGGATTTTCTCTGAACCCCTGAACTTCACAACTTCACTTTTTCTTTTTTTTTTTCAGATGGAGTTTCACTCTGTTGCCCAGGCTGGAGTGCAGTGGTGCAAACTCAGCTCACTGCAACCTCCGCCTCCCAGGTTCAAGTGATTCTCCTGCCTCAGCCTCCCAAGTAGCTGGGATTACAGATGCCTGCCACCACACCCAGCTAATTTTTGTATTTTAAGTAGAGACGGGGTTTCTCCATGTTGGTCAGGCTGGTCTCCAACTCCTGACCTCAGGTGATCCACTTGCCTTGGCCCCCCAAAGTGCTGGGATTACAGACGTGAGCCACTGCACCTGGCCTGAACTTCACATTTTAAGCCACAATTGTACCAAGATCCACGTGAAACTTCTTAGACATGAGTGACCTTCTGAGACATTTTCTATCCTCAGTGATACAGGGTAGATTGCTCAGCCTAATGGCAATTCATTTTCTCATTGCCTTGCAAAAGTCTAGATAAATTATTTTCTGAAGGACTTTTTTTTGTCTCTTCCTGCTGTTCTTAGCAAAGAAAAACAATAGCTTGCCAGGGACTCTGGGTGCCCATGTCACCTCTATAATAATAAACTATCACATGGAAAGGCTGGCAGAGGCAAACTCACTCACTCCATAGGAAATGCATTTTGGCTTGACAATTCCAAATGTTTCAAAGAAAAATAGGCCAAACTCAGGTTATAATGTCTGACTAATGAAAACTATGCCGACTGCCACTCTTCACTGGTGTGAAACCAGAGCCAGTGTTAATGGGTAACCGTTCACAGGGATCCTTCGTCTACCCGACCCCAGCATTCTCCTGTGGAATGTCCTTATCAGCATCAAAAGTCACCACATTCCATACGGATCTTTCTGGGACAGGGAGTGTAAAGCGAAGCTACCATATAAGGTCATTTCCAGCTGCCACAGTGCTGTTTTCAGGGGCAAAGCTCCCTGTGTCAGATCCTTCTCCCACCAAATCCAGGGCAAGATGGAGACACTTCTTCTGGGATAACATAGTTTAGAGTCCAACCACAAAATGCAGAAATGAGCTGTCACTAATGATGTCTGACATCACTGTGCATTCAACATCTGAAAATGTTTGTCCTTTTTTGGAATCTAGAAAGCCAACCCTTTGGGGCACAGTTCACAAATGCACATTCTGTGTTTACATTCATTACAGACTGTGGATTTCAGAAGGTGTGCCCTATGATGACTTAACTTTCAAAAACAATTGAAAGAAGAGGGAATTCTGATTTCTAGGTAGCTTTCTAGTGACTGTAACTCTTCTGACACGTGGCTAATGCTCATGCTACAGAGGATGGGTCAAGAGAAGAGAGAATGGGAACCAGCACCCATAGTGTTTGAGGTAGGGGGTGGGTGGGTTGAATTTACCTTCCTTGGAATATGTTTTTAAATTTAATATCAAAATGAATTTGCATTCTTGGGATATGTACCAACTCCTTGGTTTATCCAACCAACATTTATCTGTCATGAAAGGACTGGAAAAAAAGAGAAAAGGAACAGGAAGAGAAAAAGTAATCCAGAAATGTCCTAAACGAAGTATCAGGGGATAATTAAGAATGGATTCAACCTAAAATAGTCATTTTTCCATTTCCAACAAGAAAATCAGAAATGCATTCCAAATTATGAAGTAGAATAATCTCTCAAAATAACAAAATATGGGTCTGGCGCAGTGGCTCCCGCCTATAATTTTAGCACTTTGAGAGGCCAAGACAGGAGGATCGCTTGAGCCCAGGAGTTTGAGAACAGCCTAAGCAACAAGGTGAAACCCCATCTCTACCAAAAGAAAAAAAAAATTAGCCTATAGTCCCAGCTACTTGGGAGGCTAAGGTAGGAGGATCACCTGAGCCCCGGGAGGTCAAGGCTGCAGTGAGCCGTGATCGCACCACCGCACTCCAGCCTGGCAACAGAATGAGACCCTGTCTCAAAAAATATATAAATAAAATAAAATATAGAAGAAAAGAGTCTATGATAGAATGCAGTAGAAAATTAAAATTTGTCCTATGTAGTATTTAAAGTCGTTTTAATTCATTTTATTCTTAGGAAACTAGAAAATACATGTTTTTCCAAATCACTGAACTGCAGAAAAATAATTTCTTAAATGTAGAGGGAACCATTCTTGTAATAATGGGATGCATTTGGATTTTTTCCCATTTCCTTTTATCCTCCAACTCAGCAAAAGCTTATTTTAATGGCATTCTCATGAGATCCCCATACATAGCCATAAAACCAACCTATACTGTTTTCAAAAGACATGTTAGAAAGGACCTACTAGAAAAAAACTTTTTCAAAAGAAACTTTTAATATTGGATATACATAAGAGTTATTTTTTCACTCCCCAACTAAACTTTTTGCAAGCATCCCTTAATGAAAACAAAATACGATGAAAATAAATCTGAGAGTATACAATCCATAGAACAGAATTAGGATCAAAAGAGAAGAAGATAAAATAGGTTATCAGAGAAGCCTATTAGCAGCTTCTCAAGTCATTGGTGAAAGCCGAAATTGTAAGTATGGAATCCAAATTAATTCATCCTGGGATTCTCCAATACTACAGACCGTGCCTTATACATGTTCAAAAAAATGTTTTGTTTTGTTTTGTTTGTTTGTTTGTTTGTTTGTTTTAGATGGGTCTCCCTTTGTCATCCAGGCTGGAGTGCAGTGGCACAATGATGGATCACTGCAGCCTCCACCTCCCAGGCTCAAGTGATCCTCTCACCTCAGCCTCCCAAGTAGCTGGGACTACAGTTGTGTGCCACCACATCTAGCTAATTTTTGCATTTTTTATAGAAACGGGGTTTCCCCATGTTGCCCAGGCTCGTCTCAAACTCCTGGGCTCAAACGATTCGCCCACCTCAGCCTCCCAAAGTGCTGAGATTATAGGCATGAGCCATTGCAACCAGCCTTGTTTGATTTTAAATAAAGAGAAATAAGATTTTAGAGAAAGAAAAGCATGTGTTTGAAAATGCCTAGATTAAGAATAGAACATGAGAAGACCTATATCATTCAACCATGATTTATTGGCCACCTACTAGCTTCCCTTCTCTGCTCTAGGCTTGTAAACTACCAGGTCTCAAAAGAATGATGACACATTCAATCAATGGTTCAGTATTCATCTGTAGGTTCATGCTTCTCAGTCTGGGCTAGGCATGACTTAGGTCAAGTTGTGTGCCAAGGATTACATAAGGCCAAAAATGAATATGAAACATTTTTCTGCAGTGCTCATTTTATGTCAAGAATTTGGGGGGAAGGGTTATTAAAACAATGGTGATATTACAAAGTAGAATGCAAAAGTCGTGTAATTTTTAAAATAAAACAAAAAGATTTCAAATATATTCCAGGCATGAGGCAGACTGTTTGAAGCTACCTGTTTATTCCCTTTGGCTTGAGAGATGCTTTGGTGGAAAGTCTAAGAAGCATATCTCTGGGTCCCTTTAAATGAATCTGGAATGCACAGTGGAAGTGCTTGCAGGATGCATAAAAGAGAGCTACCTCCAATAATGGCCTTCTAGACTCCAGGCTCTAGGCTTTTTCAAAGCCTGCCCCACATTAGCATGGTTTTGATGCAGGGCAGGCAAGCCCCAAAGTGGAGCTTAGGCCACAAGGGTACTTAGCTTTGCCCAGGAAAGAATTCAAGGGCAAGCTGGAGGTAGAAGAAAACAGCTTTATTGAAGCAGCAGTGTTACAGCTCCATAACTGCGCCTGCAGAGCAGGGCTACCCCATAGGCAGATAGTAGCAGTTCAGGGCAGTCTTGCAGTCATATTTATGCGCAATTTTAATTGCATACAGATTAAGGGGCAGTTTATGCAGAAATTTCTAGGGAAGGGGTAGTAACTTTGGAGTCTTGCCATGGAAAGGGGAAGTAACTCCCAGGTGTTGCCATGGCAATAGTAAATTGACATGGCACACTCCTGGGCTGTCTGATAGAAAGCTGCTTCTGCCCCTGGCCCTGTATTTGCTAGTCCTCAATCTGGTCCGGTGTCTGAGCCCAGCCTCTGGAGTCAAGTCCTGCCTTCTATCTCAGTTTGACTCAATTCTCCAGCAGTCTTGGTCTCCATCTTTACAACATTTCTCATCTCTTAGTCCCCATCTCAAGCCTAGACTTCAAAATCAGAATGGGGATTCCCAAGTCCAACTTGGTCCATCTTCTCTACTATCTGAATACTGAAGGTAAATGGGTTTCTGTGCCCCACCACAGACAGGGCAGCACCCAGCTTCCTGGGAATGGTGATGAGACCAGCACAACCCTGATTTAGGTAAGCAAAGGTTAGGCTCTGTACTAGACATTCTACGAGAAGGGCTGGATGTGCACAACATATAGCTTTTATGTTTTCCACTTGTACAACATATAGATTTTATATATTCCACTCAAATACCTGACATAGTACACTCAAATTGTCTCATACTAGGTACAGAGAAGAAAATGTTTGTTTTTAAAAATTGATTGACAGTGGCTTATGCCTGTAATCCCAGACTTTAGGAGGCCGAGGTGGGCAGATCACCTGAGGTCAGGAGTTTGAGACTGGCCCGGCCAACATGGAGAAAACCCATCTCTACTAAAAATACAAAATTAGCCGGGCATGGTGGTGGGCACCTGTAATCCCAGCTACTCCGGAGGCTGAGGCAGGAGAATCACCTGAACCTGGGAGGTGGAGGTTGCGGTAAGCCGAGATCACGCCATTGTCCTCCAGCCTGGGCAGCAAGAGCAAAACAACATCTCAAAAAAAAAAAAAAAAAAGGATTGACAGTCATTACAATGAAAAGGCAGGGATTAGTCCGTTCTCACATTGCTATAAAGACATACCTGAGACTGAATAAGTATGCATCAGTCCTGTGTAGTGACTGGTGTCCTGTCTTCTGGTAGGTTCCAATGCCATTCTGTTGGAATAGATGTTAAATATGATTTGAACCAGGAAGGTATAATCAAGGTAATGAAGATGCCATGAACAAATAAGCAATTATGGTTTTAATAACTGTTACAGACTGTAAGGACCTTGACCACAGGAATCATTTCTTGTCATCTTTGGACTCCTGGCACAGTGACTGCTGCCTGCAAAGACATCCAGGCTTTGACCATTTCTCACTGCCTCCATTGTGACATCCTGGCTCAAGCCACCAACACCTCTCCACTGTGTTAACACGAGAGCTTCTTAATTGGTCTTCTTGCGTCTGTCGTTGGCCTCTGTGATGGTTAATTTTATTTGTCAACTAGGCCCAGATATTTGGTCAAACAGTATTCTAGATACTTCCGTGAAGGTATTTTTTTTAGATGAGATTAACATTTAATCAGTAGACACTGAATAAAGCAGATTGCCCCAGAAGCGTTCTTTCCCCGGAGATCTGCATGGTTCTCTCTTTCATTGCCTTTGAACTGTTGTTGCCTCCTCAGGAAATTCTTCCTTAATCACTATTTAAATCTCACATGTACTGTGCTCTCCACCAGCACTCTCATCCTTATTATGCAGCCTTGTTTTCCCCTGTAGCACCTGTCACCTTCTAACACACCCTATCATTTATTTATTTCCTATGGGGCTCTCCTTACCACTACAATGTAAGCTGCATGAGGGAAGGGGCCTTTTATTCCCAGCCTGCTAGAGGCACTCAGTACTTATTGAATGAATGAATGAATAAATAAATACCTTCTGCTCCCAGGAAAATTATTACTTATATGTTCTCTTTGCATCTTCAAATTTTCTCCTTTAACTTTTCTGTCAGCATTTAAAAGATCTGCAAGATTCCCCATTTTAACAAAACCAAATAAGACAACAAAGACCAACAATGAACTTTTTTCTATGGTTTTATTCTTAGTTCTCTATGCTGTTCATCTTATACCATCTCCCTGGGTGACTTCATCAAGACCCTGGTTTTCAGCCATGATATACTGATGATATCCATATAAAGACGTCCATATGTAACGACCATATAGAGACTATGGTCTCTAGCCCAGCCTGCTCTTCTGGAGTTGTAAGTTCAGGCCACTGACTAATATGCATCCTCTGTGTGCTTCACTAGCATCTCAAACTCAACATTTCCAACATTGAGGCCAATAGCATTCTCCTAGTCACCTATGCTTTTAGGCAGTAGCCTGCATGTGACACCCACGTCCAGCCAACTGGTCCAAGCCAGAAACCCAGGTTCCCTTATACCTCCTCCCTCTTCCTCACCCCCAAATCTAAATTTCTATGACATTCTTTCCATTTTACCTCCTAAATAGCTTTCAAACCCATCTGTTTTCAGGGGCCAGCTCAGACCCTCACCACTTTTTGTTTCTATGACTACCCATCACTTTAACAGTCCGTCCTTCCTCTTGTCTGTTCTCTACCATCTTAATTCATTATGGCTGCCACAAGTGATCCCTCTGAAATGCAAATCAGATCCTGCCATACCTCAGCTTAAAACCCTTCCTTGGCTCCCACATAATTCATAAGACAGTCTAAAATATTCTATGATACAAATCTAACCTACCCTTCCCACCTTGTTTCCTGCCATCTCCCTTCTGCTCTACGGTTTTCTTTTTCTTTTCTTTACTTTTTTTTTTTTTTTTTTGAGACAGTCTCTCACTCTGTTGTCCAGGCTGGAGTGCAGTGGCTCGACCTCGGCTCACTGCAACCTCCCAGGTTCAAGTGATTCTCCTGTCTCAGCCTCCCGAGTAGCTGGGATTACAGGCACATGCCACCACACCTGGCTAATTTTTGTAGTTTTTAGTAGAGACGGGGTTTCGCCATGTTAGCCAGGCTGGTCTCAAACTCCTGACCTCAGGTGATCTGCCTGCCTCAGCCTCCCAAAGTGCTGGGATTACAGGTATGAGCCGCTGCACCCAGCCTCTACACTTTTCCCATGTCAAAATGAACTCAGCTCCCCACACTTCATCCCAGTAGTCGTTCTTGCCTTCATTCATGCTGACACTCTGCCTGGAACTCCCAACTCTCTTTTAATTGACAAGGCCAGACATACTTATTCTTAAAGACTCTCCTCATGTGACTTCCTCTTCAGGATGATTTAGAGACTCTTTCTTTGAGGTCTCACAGCATCACACATGGTGCCTCTACTAGCATCTATTACCCTGAATTGAAGTTGATTTACTTACTACCTCCATCTTTCTAAACTTCACATTTTTTGAGAGCAAGGAATGTGTCTTTATACATTTTTTATTCCTCATTCTTAGCTCAGTTTCTGGCATAAAGTAAGTACTCAATAAATCTCATTTAATTGTAATAATGATTTTCTTGTCAGTTCCTAGCATAGCATAAAGCTAAATAAATCTTAGTTAAATGAAATAAATGGAATGTGACATGCCGGGCAGCTTGAGATCGAGTGAGGCAACTTCACTGAGAGCCTAGGAAGAGGATTCTAACATGGGGATGGCGGATGAAGGTTCCTCTTCTGTCTCTTCGGGGGCAATATGTCACAAATGGAAATCACAATTCAGAGCTGTAACTGGGGTCGCAAATGATGATGGGAAGGAAGGAAGGATTTTTGAAGCAGGAAGTTATGTCAACAACTAACCTCACATCACCCTAATGGAATTTTTCATTTGCATGGAGAATAAAAGAGTAGTTATTTGGAGATATTCCAGAGCTGTGGGATAGAGGCAACAGGATCAGTGGCTACAGAGGAGAACTTGAATGCATGCCAACGAGAATGCCTAGTCCACACCCAAGAACCCTTCTGGAGTAATGATAGAAATGGAGAAACTGAGATTCTGTTGGCTGAGGGCTGAACTGCCAAAGATGACTTATAATGTATATATACAAATTCATGGATTAAATGTCTAAATAGAACATACCTCTTATTGGAATTCCATTGACATCACTTCTACTAGAGGAAGCTTCTCAACCACAAAGTAGAAGAGGATGTATACAACCGTCTAAGTGTAGGAACTGGTATAAAATTGTGTGATCAGCTAAACATGGGAATATTATTATTTTCTCCAAGTCACTGGTCACATATTTCAATACAAAAAGGTCAAGGACAGGGCCCCTTGCCACAAGACTGAGGCTTCCTTTTAGTTTGACATCAATAGGGACCAGTGGTTCCACATACTACTAATTGGTCTGATTGTCATCTAGCCTTAGTTGCAAGATTATTACAAAAGACCTTATCAAATGCCTGGCTGAACTCCCCTTACCCTGTGTTTATGGTAGTGGGCTTTATGAAGTTCTGCAAAGGTGAACGGATAGTTATTCTGGTAGATCTCTGAACTTCTGTCTTATCCAGCAGAGTAGTTCTACTAGAAACTTCTTTATATATTCAGATACAGGTAAAGATCTCAATGAGTTTTATTTTAAGTACATAAACCAGTTATCTATGGCATCAACCAATTTAGCAATTTGATTTAAAAAGGAAACTAGGAGAGTTTAGCATACTCATGATTATCGTACACAGGTTGGTTCAGAGTCACCATGATTTCCTTTCTGAGGACAACCAGTAGTTAAATTCTGTATGCCAGCTTTTCTGCTTATAAGCTATATCACTCCCAGGCAAGTTACTTAAATTCCTCTTAGGCCTCAGTTTTATCTGTAAAATGTGTATAGGACCAGTTAATTGTGTTATTGTGTGGGTTAAACTAGATGTAAAATTGTAGAGGAATCCTGGCATATTGGAAGATTGTTTTTTTAATTAATCCATTCTAAAATTTTTTTAACCGCTGACATCTTGCCTGCATGTTGCCTGGGTATCTACACAAGTCAGAATCCTTATTTTCCCCATTTTGAAATCAGAACATTTCCCTGTTTTAATCTGGCCACTCTTGTGTTCTCTGTTCATGTATTTATCTGCATATATTTATTGAGCACTTACTCTATACCAGGAAATGTTCTAGATGCTGGAATACAGCAATGAATGAAAGAGATCAGACCCATGCTCTCAGGGAACTCGTCTAGTAGCTAGATTCGTCCAACTTTGGAACCAGTCAAGTGCCAAAGCCTATCAATGATTTCATGACCAAGAAATATAATTTATCTGGAGTCAGAGATGAAAACGTATTTCTAACAACTTGATATTCTCTTAAGTATCCTTTTCTATCTTGAATTCAGTTTTTCTTGTGAGGAAATTTCATCTCTCTTTTCTAGTTTGAAGATCATTCCTCTTTATAGAGGACAAAGACAAAATAAGAATTGCATAATTTGATTTTCTTTATATTAATATTTTCCCAGCTTCCCCTGGCAGTGTCTGTCCTTTTTGGCTCTTCTTTGTGCTCTGAATGTAGCTTTCAAAGCCCTTTGGCTTCCTCTACCTCATTCTGTTGTAAGAGTCCTGACAACAGCTACTTATGTTTTTTGTTGTTTGTTTGTTTTTGAGACACAGTCTCGCTCTGTCGCCCAGGCTGGAGTGCAGTGGCGCGATCTCTGCTCACTGCAACCTCCACCTCCCAGGTTCAAGTGATTCTCCCACCTCAGCCTCCCAAGTAGCTGGGATTACAGGCACCCGCCATCATGCCTGGTTAATTTTTGTATTTTTAGTAGAGACAGGGTTTCAGCATGTTGGCCAGGCTGGTCTCAAACTCCTGACCTCAAAGTGACCCACCCACCTCGGCCTCCCAAAGTGCTGGGATTACAGCTGTGAGCCACCGCGTCCGGCCTGTTTGTCCTTTGTGGTAGGCTCTTTGTAATCTGAATTTATGAATAAATATCTGAGTTTATCAGAGACCTCCTGGTTGGTCATAATGGTCAGTGCTGTAGCACTCCCTTTACTTAATTTAGTTATGTGGTAGATTCTCTCTCTCTCTCTCTCTCTCTGTACTCTCCTTTAGATCTCTTCCTGAAGAACTAAAATTTTATAACTTCCTTCCTAAAATCTGATATCATATAATTCCCTAGACCTGTGCTGGCCAATGGTAGCCACATATCCAATTATAAATTTTCTAGAAGTCACATTATACAAGTAAATGAAATAGGTAACATTAATTTTAATAGGTTTAATTCAATCCACTATTTTAAAATATTTACATTTCAACATATAATCAATAAACATCATTAATGATATACTTTGCATTCTCTTCTTTTTGTTCTGAGTCCTCAAAATCACATATGTATTTTTGAACATCTCAATTCAGACCAGCCCCATTTCAAGGACTCAATTGCCACATGTACCTACTTAACACTTCTCTAGACCCATCATGCAAAAGCTATTCATGCTACCTATTATTTCCTTTTAATATTGAATTAATTGTTTCTCATTAAAGCTTTTGGTTAGTAAAAACTATGAAAAAGAATTAAAATCCCTTAAGTTCTAAAACTGAGCCAGTTTGAAGTAGTATTTGTCGTATTATGCACTCAAGTCTGTGACTTTTGCTTCGTCTCTTTCTCATAACTTGCATATTAATGCACCTAACAATATATTTGAAATACTTAGCACCGTAGTAGGGGGTCACTAAACATCTCTGCTTTCCATTGCTTTTCATCTGTAGTGTCTTAGCTTGTCATTAAAAAACATAGCGGATTAATTGAGCTTTAAACGATATTCCACAAACAAACAAATTGCAAGATGTTTGATCTCATTAATAAGCAAATAAATGCAAAATGAAAGAACAATTGGGAGCCATTTTAGCCTATTAATTTAGCAATTTACTTTTAAATGACTACATCTAATGAGGATAAGACCTTGAAAACTGTTTTTCTGCACACGGTTAATGATATTGTCACAACATTTTAAGAAAACATTTTGACAATATGAGTCAGTAGTGTTAAAAATATTTATCGCATTGATTCTGTAATCATCCTTCATGGAATTTATCCTAGAGAAATTATCAGTGATATTGACAATAATATTCATATGGAATGCTTTCTTCAGAATTATTTATGAGAGCAAAAAGTGAAAACAACCTCACTGTCCAAAATGGGAAATAGGATAAGTAAATTACACTATGTTCATTAGGCAGCATATTGACTAAGTATTGAAATTATAATAATGAAAAACTTTCAGGAATAATAAAAATATAAGAATAATATGTTAAGCAAAAAGCATATAATTAAATTACATAGGCCAGCTGCTGTGGCTCACGCCTATAATCCCAACACTTTGGGAGGCTGAGTAAGCCTTATAACAGCTCTATAAAATTACCACTATTATTATCCCTATTTTGCAGATGAGAAAACTGAGGCCCAGGGAGCTTCTAGTCACACAGCTTCTAAGTGGCAGATGCAATAATATTAGGTGATGAGCTTACTGTTTGAAGTTACATGACTGTGTGGGACTAACATTTTTTAAATGTTTTACAAAACATTTAGCTGTATTGTAAAAAAAAAAAAAGTATGT
Organism: Homo sapiens; assembly: GCF_000001405.40. Lineage (NCBI taxonomy): Eukaryota > Metazoa > Chordata > Mammalia > Primates > Hominidae > Homo > Homo sapiens. Next base: position 12,192,842 of record NC_000006.12, on the reverse strand, counting down.
TTCAAAATAGAACTTAAAATGTTCCTGTGTTACTCCAATCTCACATTGCTATAAAGAACTACCTGAGACTGAGTAATTTATGAAGAAAAGAGATTTAATTTACTCATGGTTCCACGGATTGTACTGGAAGCATGGCTGGGAGGCCTCAGGAAACTTACAATCATAGAGGAAGGGCAAAGGGGAAGCAAGCGCGTCTTCACATGGCGGCAGAAGAGAGAGCAAAGAGGGAAGTGCCACACACTTTTAAACCATCAGATCTCATGAGAACTCACTCCCTATCACGACAACAGCAAGGGGGAAATCTGCCCCCACGATCCAATCACCTCCCACCAGGTCCCTCCCGCAACACTGGGAATTACAATTCAACATGAGATTTGGGTGAGGACACAGAGCCAAACCATATCAGTTCCCAATACAAAAAAATTATAAATGCTTGAGGTGATGGAAATACCCTAACTTGATCATTACACATTCTATGCATGTAATGAAATATCACATGTACTGCATAAATATGTACAAATATTGTGTATCCATTTAAAAATTTAAAAATATGTACTTAAGAGAGGTGAAAAAATTACACACACACACACACATTTCTATGAAACATACAAATCAAAGAAAAATACTGAAGAAAATATCCAAAAATAAAAATAATGGTTCTATATGGGTAGTGGGATGTAGATTATCTTTTGGATGAACCATATTCCATGTTTTAAAAAGAAATATTGTAATTGATTTAAATCCTAAAATTAATTTGTACACTTAAGAAGTCAGTCATATGATATGAAGGTGTTGCAGAAGCATAGTTAGCAATTGTCTAGTGGCCCAAGAGAGGACTGAGATCCTGGTTCTAGCCCCTAATTAGCTGTGAGAATGGAACATACTTTATCATGTTTTCTGGCCTCAGTTCCCTCATCTATAAAATGAAGAATAGAAGTAAATGACATTATATATTTTTCAGGTCTAATATTCTATAATTTTACAAAAGCACAGGCCAAAATGATCTCTATTGTGTTTTCGTAGTGAGCATCAAATGAGATAACATTTAGGAAAGTAGTTTAAAATATGAAAAGCATTACCATGTTACATTGGTTCTATTATTAAAGTTCAGCTCTGTAACTACACCGTGTATTGGATTTTGGCAAAATTAATCAAACGATATTGACTATTGATTTCTGGACATATTTTATTATGTTCTTTTTATTTATTTTAAAAATTGTATTCATTTTTATTTTTATTTTTATTTTTTTTAGACAGAGTCTCACTCTGCTGCCTAGGCTGGAGTGCAGTGGCACAATCAGGCTTGCTGCAGCCTTGAACTTCTGGGCTCAAGCAATCCTCCCACCTCAGCCTCCTGAGTAGTTGGGACTACAGGCACACACCACGACACCTGGCTAATTTCTTTAAAAAGTTTTTGTAGAGTTGGGGTCTCCCCGTGTTGCCCAGGCTGATCTTGAACTCCTGGGCTCAAGCCATCCTCCCACCTAGGCCTCCCAAAGTGCTGGGATTAGAGGTGTGAGCCACTGTGCCTAGCCTATTGTGTCCTTTTTAGATTGGTTGACAACGGACAATGTTTTAACAAATCAATGTAGACAAAGTAACAGTGCTCCTAAACAAGTGTGGTTGCTCTGTATCTTGAATATATTAGCTTACCTCTTAGTTTACTGTTAGAATGCTATTGTGAGAATTAGACATTTTTTAGAATTTTTAAAATACTATTACTGGTATTATTAGCCCATTTAGTAACAGCCAAAATTATATTTTTCTGTGCTGTTTTTTTTTCTTATTTGGTTATCAAAACTTGGAGATTGTCAAGAAATATGCATATGCCAGCTGTGCCTGGAAGTTCAGCTTAGAAAGCAGTAGAAAATATTTGGCATCTTGAGAGTTTTAAATACTGAAAATCAGGGCCATATTTTTACACCCATATACCAATCAGTAAGACATTTATTCCTGCTAACTTGTAATACAAACTTTTGGTCTTAAATGGGTGAATTAATTTATTCAAGAGATGTTAGCATTCCAACCCAGTTGCAATGTGTCGGGTACTCTTACAGGTGTCGACAAGAGAATAAAATAGAAATGGTAACTCAAGGAGTTTACCATCCTGGGGAGGGGTGTGGAAAAACACTACAAGAGCCAACAGATAAAGAAATTGAGTATGAAAGGAAGGAATTAGGTGCCACAAGAAAAGACTAAGAAAAACGGGCTCTGTGTTAGAGTGGATGCCTAAGGAGGGTCTCTCTGAATGGGTGACCACCAAAGCCAAAAGAATAAGAAAGAGAGGGAGCCCGATAATGCAGAGTTGGGACAAAAGAGTTGCAGGCAGAAAGCAAGCAGTGCACAGGCTCCAAAGCGGCAAAACTGACTTGTGCAAGGAACTGAGAGAAGGTCAATAGAGTTGGAAACTGCGGAGTGAGAGGAGGTGGGAGGAACAAGGTGGGATTTAAGAAACGGGAATGAGCCAGTTCAAGGAGGGCCTGAACCTCTGGAAAGAAACTTTTGTTCTGGATTCAACGGAAAGCCACTGAAATGTTTCTACCCGCTTATTCAACTTTGAACATTTTTATTTTCTATTTTTAAAAATGATACATATGAACGGTAAATAATTCAAAAGGAACTAAAGGTTTTATAAATAGAGTGAAGATTCAGCCTGTCCCATTTCTTCCCGTTCCTACTACTCCCAAGTCCTGTATCCAGAAGGTACAAATGTTGGCAGCATAAATCTGCATAAAGGATAAGAGTAGAGATGTGTGCATACATATTTATAGTTTTTCTGAAAAGGTAGCATAATATACACATTGTTCTACAATTTGCTTTCCTTTTTACTTAGTATATTTCAGCAACATATCAATACAACACAACACAACACAACAATACAATGTAAGTAGCCTTACTATTTTTTCTTTCAGTGACTCCATAGTATTCCATTGAAGGCATATCTTACAGTTTATTGAATCTCTTCCTTATTTGGCCATTTAGCTTGCTTCCAACTTTTGCTGTTACACATAATGACATAAATATCATTGTTCACATTTTTCCCACATGTGAATATGTCAATAAGAATAAATTCCTAGAAATGGAATAAATTCCCAGAAATATGCATTTTTCATGTTTGATAGAAAGTGCCAAATTGTTCTCCAAATTGGTCAGACTAATGATTTTACTGTCATTAATAGTACATGAAATTAATTATTACTCAATATAGTCCTTCAAATAGTGCACAAACATTTTTGTTGTTGTTAATCGTTCGTGGAAAATGGATACTGTACAGAAATTCCAGTTGACATTTCACTTATGAATGAGGTAGAACATTTTTCAAAGATGCCAAATTCATTCACATGTCTCTTCCTATGAACTATTTCATGTTTTTGTTCATTTTTCCTTTGAATTATTGGCCTTTTCTAATATTTTCTAACAATATGTAGGTATTTTATCCATTTATAACTCATTTTGCATGTTGTATTTTTTATCCATGCAATTTTTAAAAAATTTCTATGTCATCAAATTTATTAGTCTTTTTCTATAGTTGCTGAATTTTGTGTAGTGTTTAGAAAGTGTTTTTTTAACTCTCATATTATTAAAAATAATTATCCAGTCTTTTTACTGGTATTTTCATGATTTATTAAACATTTAAAAAATATTAAATATTTAATCAATCTGAAATTTATTTTGGTGAAAGGAGTAAGGTGGGGTTCAAATTAATTTTTCTCTTGATTGGCTGTTAAAACACTCCACCGTTATCTACTAAATGAATCATCATTTCTCTAGTGATGTGAAATTCAAATATTATTATACACAAAGTATACATTCAACATATATTTATCTATTTTTATACTCTGTAGTTGTGCCCATTTATAGGGATATATATTTGTCAATAATAAACTGTTTTATTTCCTATAATATTTGGAGTACGGACAGGAACAGTTTATTAATCTTTCTTCAGAATTTATTTGTTTTTTCTTGCTTATTTATTTTTCCACTGAACTTAGAATTAGTTCACTTAATTCCAAAAGCAATTTTTTTCTCTGGTATTTTTATTGAGATCACATTAAACTTGTGATTTAATTTTAAGAAAATTGAACTTTACAATATTGAATCTATCAGCTCAGGAATAAGGCATACCATTCTATTTGGATAATATTTTTATGTTACTCATTAGCATTTGAAAACCTTATATAGATCTTATATATTTCTTATATTTATTTCTTGTAATCTTATAGCTATTATAAGTGGTGTCATTTTAAGTTCTGATTTTGATATAAGTAATTAACTGAATTTTGATATTAGCTTCGTATCTTATCAAATTCACTTGTTTTTATGTTTTTCATGTGTACAATCACAGAATCTACAAATATCAATATAGTTGCTTCTTCCTTTCCTACTTTTCATTTCTCTTTTTTTCCCCTGGCTGTCTTATACATGGTGGTGGTCCTAGAAACTTGTGTGTGTTTGTTAAGAAAGTATCGATCTATTCATGATTTGTTAATATTTTTGAAAGCTCAAGGAACATATCTAAAATCTCTATAGTTTCCATGAAGATGATATGATGAATTTTCACCTTTGTAACATTAATATGGTAAAACAACAGATTGTCTAATATGGAGATATCATTGCATCACTGGTATGAACCCCATTTGGTTGTGGCTTGTCATTTTTTAAAGATGCACTTTGGTTTGATTAACTAATATCTTATTTATGACATTTATATTGTTATCCATAAGTGACAGATGATCTTAACTTTTATTAACTGAAAATATCTCAGACTTTATTTTTAAAGGATAATTTTCTAGATGTAAGATTTTAGGCTGATAACTCAACTCTTTAAAGATGCTAGTCCCTGATAGGCTGTCTTGTATTGCTTTTAATGAGATGTTAGTAGTCATTTTCTTAGTCTGTTTGTGCTGCTGTAAAGGAATACCTAAGACAGGGTTATTTATAAAGGAAAAAGATTTATGGCCAGGCATGGTGGCTCACACCTGTAATCCCAACACTTTGGGAAGCCAAGGCAGGCAGATCACTTGATGTCAGGGGTTCAAGACCAGCCTGGCCAATATGGTGAAACCTCATCTCTACAAAAAAATTAGCAAGGCCTGGTGGTGCACACCTGTAATCCCAGCTACTCAGGAGGCTGAAGCATGAGAAACACTTGAATCCTGGAGTCAGAGGTTGCAGTGAGCCAGGATCATGCCACTGCACTCCAGCCTGGGCAACACAGTGAGACTCCGTTTAAAAAAAAAAAAAAAAAAGATTTATTTGGCTCATGATTCTGATAGCTGGAAAAGTTCAGGATTGGGGATCTATATCCAGCAAGGGCCACAAGCTGCTTCCAGTAATGGTGGACGGAAGGCAAAGGGGAGCTGGTATGTGCAGAGATAACATGGCAAGAGAGGACGCAAGGGATGGGTGAGGTGCCAGGCTCTCTTTAACAATCAGTTCCTGTGCAACTAACAGAGGGAGAACTCACTCACCACCCCACAGGGAGGGCATTAATCCATTCATGAGAGGTTTGCCCCCATGACCCAAACACCTCCCATTAGACCCCCACCTGTAGTATTGGAATCAAATTTCAACATGAGGTTTGAGTGGGACAAACATCCAAACTATAGCAGTAATTTTTACCTTTGGAAAATGTTCAGCCATTATTTTTGCAAATGTGTCCTCTGCTCTGAACTCTGCTCTCCTTCTATGACCCCGATTACCACTTGATAATATTTCAACCAACCACTGAAATTCTTCATTTTTAAGAAATCTCTCTTCTCTGTATTTAAATTTAGATTTTCTCTTGCTCTATATTTAAGTTTTCTGATACTTCCTTCTGCATGTTTCAATCTGCTATTCAGCCCATCCAGTGAATTTTTCATTTCTGACTTTTTTAGTTCCAGATTTTCCATGTATTTAATTTATATAGTTTTGATTTCTCTGCTGAAATTCATCTTTTCGCTAAAAAAAAAAAATGCTCATGCTCTTCTTTTAATCCTGAAACAAATTTATAATACTCTTGGAAAATTTCTATTTCATAATTTCATCATCTGGGTCATCTCAGGTCTGTTTATTTCAACTTATTTTCTCCTGGGTATTTGGTCACATTTTCTTGCTTCTTTGCATGTCTAGTAACTTTCATCGCATATGGGATATTGCAGCTGCTATGTTGCTGAGAGTTTGGATTTTGTTGCCTTTCTTTAGTGTTGAGTTTTATTCTGGCAGGCAGTTAATTTACTGGTGAATCAACTGACTTTAGGCTTTATTAGGTAGCATTTACCGTATGGTTAGTATACGCCTTTTTTTTTTTTTTAACAATTTGATGGTTTTAGTGAAATTATAGAATTGTGTCACCATCACCACAATCCTGTGTAAGAACATTTCCATCATCCCAGAAAGTTCCTTCACACTGTTTCCAGTCAATTTCAATTCTTATCTTCAGCCCAAGACAACCACTGATCTGCCTTCTGACTTCATAAGTTTGTCTTTTCTAGACATTGCATATATATTTAATAGTCTTTTGTGTCTGGCTTCTTTCACTTAGCATTTTTTCTAGTTTAATACATTTTATTATTAATTATATGTATATATGTATTATTAATATGTATATATGTAATATTAATACATATGCCAGTAATCATTCTACTTACTTGCTGAATATACAATTTCATTGTATGGATACACACATTTTGTTTATCTGATCACTAGTTGATGAAAATTTAGATTTTTACTTGCTTTTGGCTATTATAAATAACTGAGTTTACAATTTCATTATATGGATACACACATTCTGTTTATCTGATCACTAGTTGATGAACATTTAGATTTTTACTTGCTTTTGGCTATTATAAATAATGCTGTGGTGAACATTCATGTACATATCTCTGTGTAGATATGTTTTTAATTCTCTTGATTAGATTTCTAGGAGTGAATTTGCTAGGTTGAATGATAAATTTTTGTATAACATTTCAATAAACCAGCAAAATGTTTTTCAAAGTGGATATACCATGTTCATTTCCATCAGAATGCATGATGGTTCCCATTTCTCCACATCCTTGCCAACACTTGGTATTCTTGTTTCTTATTACAGCCACTCCAATGGGTGTATAGTGGTACATAGGCCACTGGTGTTTCAATTCACATTTCTCTAATAACTACTGGTATTGAGCAAATTTTCATGTGCTTATTAACCATTCATATATGTATACCTTTTTAAAATGAACTCTCTAATTCAAGTCTTTGGCTCACTTTTTAATTTGGTTGTCAGTCCTACTTTTAAGGTGTGGCTTTTCTGTGATTTCAAAACAGAATGCCTGAGGTATTACGTGAAATGACTCCACTCTGCCAGGTCAGAACGCCAGTGCCCCTCAGCACTGTGGAACCTGCAGTGTCCCAGTTCAACTCAGAGCCTCTTATAGCCCTTCTCTGCCAGAAATCATGGAGTTTCACATGTGCATGCCAATGACTCAAAAGAACCTATATGCAGATTTCTAGAGCTACGCTTCCGTGCAGCTTTTTCCTCTCTGGATATGCCTCTTCAAAAATTATAGCTGCGTCAGTGGCCCTGAACTCTACTGTTCCCTCCACCCAGCAAGACCACTGCTGTCAATCTGGGTGAACGCCTTACACCACAGTGTGGAAAGTGCCCCAGGCAGAAAGCTAAAGGCAAGGTGTGTCTGCCTGCCTGTGATTCCATCTTGAATGGACAACAGCCCTTTGTGGTAAGTTGTCCAATGTCTGAAAACAGTTACTTCATCATTTTTGTCCAGTTTGAGAGTTCATTACTTTTCAGTAGCTACATTCAAAACCTGTTATTTAGTCATGTTCATAATCAGAAGTCCCTTCCTTTTTAATATAAAAATGTTTCTTTCAGAAATTTTACCTCTAAATATTCATTGTGTGTGTGTACACATGTATGAATATTAAACCTTAGCCTGAAATGTGTAAAAAATATTTTAGAGACTTCCACTGCTTTTTATTTTTAAATAAATAATGACTTCTCCTAGGAAAGTTTTATAAAGTTGCAATGAAATAATAATACATATCACTTTTCAGCTGAACCTTTTACTCTATGGGACAATTGCATAATGACTCATAAAAGTTTTGATTTTATTGGTGGAATTTAAATGTATGATATGAAGTGATTTTTTTCGATTCTAACTGCTTCAGAGAAACAGGAAATGCATTCTAAGAAATTCCATCTGTGACAACAGATTGAGGCACAAAGGGCTGCGGTTCAAATTTAAGAGGCAAATGAAAGGGAAAATGGAAGAAACGATCAATAGCTTCATTACGTTGATTGCAATGAAATTAAAATGCAAACATGGTCTGCCCAAATGGGATTGTTTGCGAATGCCACATTAATCAATGGCAATAAATACAGATCAAAATATACCATTTTTGTGTTCCATTCTGGAATAGTGGAATGAAGAGAAGTTTGAGTCTGTGTTTAGTGTGATGATACTGTAATTGGTAAACAGGTGACAAAGAAAAAATTTTGACATTTGTGCTGAAAGTTCTTCAAGATATTTATATCTAAATCTTTTGTAGGTAACATTCTAGGAAATTCCAGATCCGAGTACAAAATAGAGACAAATATATCATCTGTATTCTCAATACAAAGGCTTTGAGAGATCAAAAATCATGATGTTTGCTGAAAACACTGCCTATTTTCTCTTGAAGCCAAAGGAAAAGGTAATCCTCCAACATCTAAGTGTTCCCCAGGTAAAATGATTTGACAGAATTCAAATAGTTCTCTTTTACGTTCTGACAAATTGCTCCCACTTCCCCCCAAATCAGTCTGTCTGTCTGTCTGTCTGTCTGTCTGTCTGTCTGTCTATCTATCTATCTATCTATCTATCTATCTATCTATCTATCTATCTATCTTTACAATGTGATTTGGCCTGGAATCCCTGCCACTGTAGCTCCTTAAAATAATGTTGAGTTTAATTATCTGAAATTCTTTTAAATTTATTTTTGTTAGCTATTTATTGTTCAAACTTCAGTAACTTCACATGGGCAAATACAACCATAAATTCTATCTCTTGCTTTTGTATATTGTATCTCAAGGGATATAACAAAATTATTACGATATAGTTAATTTGGGCTTATATATGAATATTAGAGGTATGTGCCACACTACGATTTTGAGTGTAGATGGCTAGACGAATCCAAAAATGAGTTGAAATCACTGTCCCATAATTAAATGATCTTATCTTATAAATGTGAAAAACCATGAAAGGTGGCAAAAAGATGAGAAATCAGGACATCATCTAAATTCTAGTCCAAGTAGGACAAGATTAAATTAATTGATTAAAACTTAGTTAACTCAGTTAAACTTCTCATCTAAAAAAGAAGGGCTTTTATCTGAAAGATCACTGTAGAACATATCTCCAAGAACTCCATAACGTAGCTGGCACCCCAGACATTTGCACACAATATTTAATAAACAGAAGAGGATGCTAAAGCGAGTCTGCTCCACAGAACAGGAGTCACATCCTTTAAATTTGCCTTTCCTTCTCTTTCTCTCACTTAGTTCTCCTTCTGGGTGTTTCATGTATCTAATTAATACTACAGAGGATGTTAGACCAGTAAAAACAACTTTGTTCTACCTTGTTTGTTCTCTTGTTCTCAAGTTTTCCTGTTTTTCAAAAGGATTACAACTAGGATTGGTAGACTCCTGAAGTTTCTCTTGTTTCGTTTTGGCTTAAATTTTTACTGGAATTAAAAAAAATCATTTTTCTTGCTGTTCTAGTTGAAAGCACATTTTCTTTTTTTATACGTAAGTTTTCTCCCTTTAAATGTCCTGTGATACAGACTCCCCCATGAATAATGTTATACTGCAGTTTGGTCTCTGGCATCATTTTTACTTCTTCACTTTAGAAAAATCAGGTCTCCTTCAGTGCTGAGATGTGCATCCTTTCTTGAGTCACCGGGGAGGGCCACCATGTGATTGGACGCCACATCCTGCAGTACTCATGCACACAGTGTCACCCACATTTGTAATCGCAAAGGCATTCTGATGTTATTAATGACACCTTCTACTTGCACAGTACTGTTTATATATTATTAGGCAATTATACACATTTCCTCACTGGATCTTCCTCGCAAGACTCTTTTGATGCAGGCATGGCACGCACTATTCTTTAAGAAGGAAAGAATGGAAGATCAGAGATAGCAAGTCACAAAGAACCCAAGAGGTGAGATTGAGGGAAGAACCCACGTACTCTGGCCCCTGGTTCAAGACTCAATCACTATGTCACATCATCTTTCCTCTCCAAAGAAACAGACATTTCCTTCAGCCCTGAACTAAACTGAAAACCTTCTTTGAAATCACTATGAAACCTGATTTCATATCAATTCACATGTCATCAGAACTTTTGCTGCTAGTTGGGGATGGGACAATAGATCTCTTAGAGTCACCAATAACCTGTCAGCTTTATGATCAATATGCCTGTTATTTTTTTGCTTCACATCCCTGAGGCACGACAGGAAGAAGCAATTTCTGAGTGTGATTCTTCATATACTTTATTTTCTCTTATTTTTCTCTTTTCTTTAAATAAAAGGGAAATTTTTGTTTTAAGAAAAAAAGGAAAAGATGGTACTGATATCACACATAAATTATTTTCTATTTGACTTTTCAACATGACAAGTTCATGAAATTGATTTTTAGGTGCGTTAGTTGGCATCTTCAATTCTTTTCCGATTTTTCATGCTATCTTTGTAATCTACTGTTAATACAGGAAGTGCTTGAAACTCTGGGCCCCATGTATGAACTTGTCTAATTTCCAAATCTTAGGAAAATACACTGAGAATAAACTACAGAATAATGAATTTGGATATCTGGGTAATCAGCTTTCAGGAGAAGAAATATGAGGTATTCCATAGTTTCCATATCTCGGCTCTGATCACTCTCAAGCTATTTTGGCAAAGAAAATAGCCTCTCTTATTTGTACCACAAAATGCATTATTATGATCAAAAGAGAAAAAAATGGGATTTTAAGGTAAGTCATCTAGATGTTAGCATCCATGTTTTATGATGTAAGAAGAACCACTTCTACACTTTGACAAATACAAGCTCTCACCTTTGCAACTTGTATCACTATGATGGCATCCAGGATAATATTCACATTTTCCTGTACTGACTGTAGCGAGGGCGTCAATGTTTCAGCATTTGGGTGTCTGTTGTTTTGAGAATCTACTCAAAGTCTCCGAATACTTTTCTTTTGGATTACTTCAGTTCTCTGTAATAACAGATCTGATAGAGTTTATAAGCCAAGTTAAAACACCTGGCATGGTGGCATGCGCCTGTAGTCCCAGCTACTTGGGAGGCTTAGGTGGGAGGATTGCTTGAGACCAGGAGGTTGAGGCTGCAGTGAGCTATGATTGTGTCACTGCACTCCAGGGTCTCACTCTGCTGCTCCATCCTGGGCAATAGAGTGAGACCCTGTTTCTAAAAAAATTTTTATTTATTTATTTATTTTTATTATTTTTTATTTTTTGAGACGGAGTCTCACTCTGTTGCCCAGGCTGGAGTGCAGTGGCGCAATCTCAGCTCACTGTAACCTCTGCCTCCCGGTTTCATGCCATTCTCCTGCCTCAGCCTCCCGAGTAGCTGGGACTACAGGCACCTGCCACCATGCCCGGCT